>NC_000016.10:62744318-63047348 GCF_000001405.40 Homo sapiens | reverse complement strand
AAGAACGTTTTAAAAATTCTTAAAACAGTGAAAATACGTAACATACCAAAATCTATGAATTACAGCAAAAGCAGTACTAATAGGGATGTTTATAGCAATAAATACCTATATCAAAAAAGTAGAAAGATTTTTGGCCAGGTGCAGTGGCTCATGCCTGTAATCCCAGCACTTTGGGAGTCCGCAGTGGGTGGATCATTTGAGGCCAGAAGTTCAAGACCAGCCAGGCCAACATGGCCAAACCCCATCTCTACTAAAAATACAACAACAACAAAAACTTAGCCAGGCATTGCAGCATGCACCTGTAATTCCAGCTACTTGGGAGGCTGAGGCAGGAGTATCACTTGAACCCAGGAGGTGAAGGTTGCAGTGAGCTGAGATCACACCGCTGCACTCCAGCCTGGGTGACAGAGCACAACTCTGTCTCAAAAAAAAAAAAAGAAAAAAAAGAAAAAATATTTTAAATAAACAACTGAACAATACACCCCAAGAAATGAAAAAAGCAAACCAAACCAAACCCCTAATGAGTAGCAGAAAATAAATACAAATTAGACTAGAGATAAATAACATTGATTCTAAAAAGTATACGGAAGATCAATAAAATGAAAATTTGCTTTTTAGTTTTTGTTTGTTTGTTTATCCCTTGCCCTGCTTCCACTGTTCTCTGCAAGTCCCCAAAGTCCATTGTATCACTCTTTTTCCTTTGCATCCTCATAGCTTAGCTCCCACTATCAGTGAGAACATAGGATGTTTGGTTTGCCGTTCTTGAGTTACTTCACTTAGAATAATAGCCTCCAATCTCATCCAGGTCACTGCAAATACCGTTAATTCATTCCTTTGTATGGCTGAGTAGTAGTATATTATATGTAATACAATATATATACACATATTATGATATATGATATACATTATGATATATAATCATATCATATGTCGACATATGATACGTATATCATATGTCGACATATGATACGTATATCATATGTCGACATGATATGTATATCATATATCATATGATACGTATATCATATGTCGATATATGATACGTATATCATATGTCGATATATGATACGTATATCATGTCGATATATGATACGTATATCATATATCATAATATGATACGTATATCATATGTCGATATATGATACGTATATCATATATCATGATACGTATATCATATATCATAACATGATACGTATCATATATCATAATATGATACGTATATCATATATATATGTATATCATGTATATCATTTTATATATATATATATATCACAGTTTCTTTATCCACTTGATTGATGGGCATTTGGGTTGCAATTGGAAATTGTGCTGCTATAAACATGCATGTGCAAGCACGTTTTTCGAATAATGAGTTATTTTCCTCTGGGTACATACCTAGTAGTGGGATTTCTAAATCAAATGATGGCTCTACTTTTAGTTCTTTAAGAAATCTCCACACTGTTTTCCATAGTGGCTGTAGTAGTTTACGTTCACACCAGCAGCGTAGAAGTGTTCCCTGATCACTGCCACCATGACAACATCTACTATTTATAGATTTTTTTTTATTATGGCCATTCTTGCAGGAGTAAGGTAGTATCACATTGTGGGAAAAGTTGTTTTTTAAAAAGAGAAACAAAATCAACAATTTTTAGCTAGAAAAAGAAGAAAGAAGACCTAATTAAATAAAATTGGAAACAAAAAAGGAGACAGAACAACTGATACCACAGAAATACAATGTATCATTAAAGACTATTATGAACAACTGTACACCAATAAATTGGAAAACAGAAAGAATGGATAAATTCCTGGATACATACCTCCTACAAAGATTGAACCATAAATAAATGGAAAACCTGAGCAAACCAATAAAAGCAACAAGACTGATGCCATAATAAAAAGGCTCCAGTCAAAGAAAAGCCCAATAACTGATGGCTACACTTCTGAATTTTATTAAACTTATAAAAAGAACTAATACTATACTCAGATTTTTAAAACGAATTAAAAAGGGGTGAATATTTTCAAACTCATTCCATGAAGCCAGCATTATCCTGATACAAAAACCAGACAAGAACATAACAAAACAAACAAAATGATAACTGTATATCAATATCACTGATGAATGTACATGCAAAAATCTTCAACAAAATATTAGCAAAATCAATGTAGTAATACATTACAAAGATTAATCACTATGATCAAGAATCATCAAAGGGATGCAAGGATGTTTCAACCTATGCAAATCAATAAACCTGATACATTACATTAACAGAACCAAGAAGATAAACCATATGATTATTTCAGTATTGAATGAAAAAAAATTCAATAAAATTTAACATCCCTTTATGATATAAACTCTCAATAAACTGCATATAGAAGGAACATACTTCAAAACAGTGAAGGTCATAAATGACAAACCACAGCTAACATTATACTGAATGGGAAAAAATTGAAAGCTTTTTCTCTAAAACCTAGAAGAAAACAAGGATGCCAACTCTCACCACTTTTAGACCACATAATACTGAAAATCCTAGCCAGAGAAATTACGTAATAGAAAGAAATAAAGGACATCCAAGCTGCAAAAGATGAAGTCAAATTAGCCTTGTTCACAGATGTCATGTTCTTATGACTAGAAAAACCTAAATATTCCACTCCGTGCCCCCCCCCCCCAAAAAAAACCTAGTAGATAAAAAAACCTACTGATAAAAAAAATTCAGTAAATTTGCAGGATACAAAATCAACATATAAAAATCAGTACATTTATATATACCAACAGTTAACAATCTGCAAAATAAATCAAGAAAGCAATCACATTTACCATAGCTGCAATAAATAAAAATATATAGGAATAAATTTAACCAAAGAAGTGAAATATCTGTACAAGGAAAACTGTAGAACATTTTTTAAAAATTGAACAGAATACACACAAAAAGTGGAAAGATATCCAATGTTCATGGATTGAAAGAATCAATATTGTTAAAATCACAATACTACCCAAACAATTTACAGATTAAATGCAATCCCTATCAAAATGCCAATGCCATTCTTCACAGAAAAACAAAAAATCTAAGACTGTATATGACATCACAAAAGACTCTGAATAGCCAAAGCAATCTTAAGCAAAAAGAACAAAGCCGAAGGCGTCATGCTAGCTTCAAAATTTACTGCAAAACTCTATAGTAAACAAAACAAAATAGTACTGGCATGAGAACTGACACATAGACCAATGGAACAGAATAGAAAGCCCAGAAATAAATCTTTGCATTTACAAATAACTTATTTTCAACAAAGACAGCAAGAACATACACTGAGGAAGGGACAATCTCTTCAATAAATGGTCCAGAGAAAATAGAATAACTACATACAGAAGAATAAAACTATACTCCTATCTCTCACCAAATACAAAAGTCAAATCAGAATAGATTAAAGACTTAAATCTAGGAACTGAACCTATGAAACTACTAGAAAAAAAAACATTGGAGAGATGCGCTAGGATATTGGTATAAACCAAGATTTTTTGTGTGAGACTGCATTACCACAGTCAACCAAACAAAAGTAGACAAATAACATTACATCAAGCTAAAATGCTTCTGCAAAGCAAACAATCAACAAAATGAGACAACCCACAGAGTGGGATAAAATATTTGAAAACTATTCATCTGATAAGGGATTAGTAACCAACCTATAAATAAAAAAGCTTTACAAACTCAATAGGAATAAAACAAGCAATTAAATAAGTCATGGGAAAAATATCTGAATAGACATTTCTCAAAAGAAGACATGCAAATGGCCAAAAAATATATAAAAATAAAGGCTCAACATCACTAGTCATCAGGGAAATGAAAAGCAAAACTGCAATGAGATATCATGTCACCCAGATAAAACAGCTTTCACCAAAAGACTGAATAACTAATGCTGGTGAGGATGTGGAGAAAGGGGAGCCTTCATACATGGTTGGTGGGAATGTCAATTAGTACGACCACTATGAAAAGCAGTAGGAGTGTTCCTCAAAAAACTAAATATAGAACTACAATATGATCCAGCAATCCCACTACTGGATTTATATCCAAAAGAAAGGAAATCGATACATTGAAGAAATATCTGCCTCTCATGTTTATTGCAGCACTATTCACAGTAGTCAAAATATTAAATCAATATGTGTCCAGCAGTGGATGAATGAATAAAGAAAATGTGGTATATGTACACAGTTGAATATTATTCAGCCGTAAGACAGAATGAAATCCTGCCATTTGCATCAACATGAATGGAACTGGAGGTCATCATGTTAAGTGAAATAAGCCAGGCACAGAAAGACAAATGCTGCATGTTCTCATTTATATGCGGGAGCTAAGAAAATGGTTTCATGAAGATAGGGAGTAGACTGGTGGTTACAGAGGCTGGGAAACGTAAGGGGTTAGAAATAATGAATAGAGGTTGATTAATGAGTACAAAAATACAGTTGGATAGAGAAAATAATGCCTAGTATTCGATAGATGGTAGGGTGATTATAGTTAACAATAATTTATTGTATATTTTAAAATACCTAGTAGAGAACAAGTGTTCTCAGCATAAAGAAAAGAAGTATTTAAGGTGATGGATATCCCAATTACCCTGATTTGATCACTACACAATACATCAGTGTATCAAAGTATCCCATGTATCCCCAACATATGTACATCTACTGTGTATCAACAAAAAGGTGCATATACGTTGTCTACAGTTTCTCCATGTCTTTTCTCTTTTGCACACACTTCATCCTTACCAACTCATCTAAACATTTAATGAATGTTACTATAGATACTACTTTGCTAAGTCCTGTAGTCCATCTTAAGTATGCAACTTATTCAACCTGTAGGCAGCAGGATATACATATAACCACTTCTTTTATGATACTTTACATTTATTTATTTTTTTGAAGAACATCCTTTCTTTTGTGTGGCCTTTCTCAATGGACAGAGAAAAATTTTAAGAAATTGGCTCACATGATTAGTGGGTGGGGTTGGGGGAAGGGGATGCTAGCCAGTTTAAAATCTGTAAGGCAGGTCAGCAAGTTGGTAATCCAGGCAGGAGTTAATACTGTATTTTTTAATCTGAAATCTATAGGGCAGGCTGACAGACTGTGAACTCAGGCAAGAATTTAATGCTACAATCTTGGGCAGAATTCTTTCTTCTCAAGGAAACCTAAATTTTTGTTCTTAAGGCCTTCCCACTGATTGAATAAGTCCCACTCACCTTATGGAGGGGAATCTCCTTTACTTAACAGCATGGATGTTAGCCACATTTATGGCAACACCTAAATTCCTGTTTGTTGGAGTAATTGGGTACTAGAGCCTAGCCTAGTTGACACATAAAAGAATCATAGCTTCCTTTGCTGATTTGTCCCCTCATTTCTCAGATCTCTAAATGTTAGAGATCTCTAAATGTTAGAAGACTCCAGTCTTAGTTCCCAGAACTTGTTTCTAAAACCATTCACCCTCTAAATGGGGGGAGGGGGGAGGGATAGCATTAGGAGATATACCTAATGTAAATGATGAGTTAACAGGGGCAGCACACCAACATGGCACATGTATACATATGTAACAAACCTGCACGTTGTGCATATGTACCCTAGAACTTAAAGTATAATAAAAAAAAGTAAAAAAAAAAAATCTCATCTCATATCTTTAAGCACCAGCTCCATTCTGATGACTCCAAATTTACATTTCCATGACAGTATTTTTCTTGTCTGAGCTCCAGGCTTATATTTATACAAAGCTACCTACCTTAATTATTAATAGGCTGTCTATTAGAAACCACAAATTTAAGAGGGCCAAAGTTAAACTTCTGATGCACCACATGCCTATAAAAAAGATATTCTTTCTTAATTCATTTCTGTAAATGGCAGTTCTATCTATCCAGTTGCTAACAAAGTGTATCTTCCATATCAGTGCCTTCCACTCATATAATTCTCTGCTTGAATATTCTTTCCCAAATGTCACCAAAGGTTATTTTCTCATCTCCATATGGTCTCTACTGAAATGCCACTGTATAATGATTGCTTCTCTGATTATCTGTTGCAACATAGCTCCTAAATTCTCCCCCAATACACACAGACACAGAGAGAGACAAAATCATATCTGCTATTCAATAAACAAGTTGCATGACTTTTTTTTCTCTAAATCATTAATCATAATTTGTTATATTACTGATATGGTTTAGCTCTGTGTCCCCTCCCAAATGTCATGTCGAATTGTGATCTCATGTTGAAGGAGCCTGGTGGGAGGTGATTGGACCATGGCATCAGATGTCCCCTTTGCTGTTATTATAATAGTGATGTATCAAGAGATGTGGTTATTTGAAAGTGTATAGTGCTTCCCCCTTCTCTCTCCTCTATCTCTCTCTCTCTATCTCTTTCTCATCATGTAAAGAAGGTGCTTGCTTTCCTTCACCTTCTGCCATGACTGTAAGTTTCCTGAGGCCTCACAGTTATGCTTCCTGTTGAGTGTGTGGAACTGTGAGTTAATTAAACCTCTTTTCTTTATAAATTACCAGGTCTCAGATAGTTCTTTATAGGAGTATGAGAACAGATGAATACAATTACTTATCAATCCAGTAGGTACATTTTTTATCTCCTCATGGAATGAAAGCTTGGTAATGGCAGGAATTTTTTTTCCATTCATTGCTGCGTCTCCAGTGCTATTAACGTGTTTGACACATATGAGGCCCAAAAAGAGAATGTGCTGGATTTTGGTTACTGATCACTAGCTTCTAATCATGAACAATCACTGTAACAATGGTTACCTCTCAGAAGTATGAAATAGAAGAAAAAAAAATGAGAGTGAAAGGGTGTCAGAGGGAAAACAAACAAGTAGCTGGCATGGGGGGAAAGAAACAAGAAAGCAGCAAGCCATCCATCCCTGCAGGGAGCAGGGCATGCTTCCCTTCTTCTCCCACCTTCTTCTTTCCTGTCCTTCTTTCATGAAATGGGAGTGGGAGGGTGTGATCTTTAGAAAAACTGAGCAAAGGAAGAAAGACTTAAGGATCATGACACACAGGAAGTTATGCCATTAGTAGAAGTCAATATGCAGTTGTGGGGTGAAGCAAAGTAGAAGCAAAGTGACAGTTGATTGGCTGATCTTGTATGTATTTCATCCTGAAGAATTTGAAAGTCTAAAGGACTATATAAGCTAAATGATCTGGGAGCTGCTTTCCTAGGATGGAATCTGAGACCTAAGTGGAGGTATTAGGATTAAGGTTAAAAAAAAAAAAAAAAAAAGCAAACCAAACTACACTAAGAATTCAAATAGTGAAAACTAAAAATAATAATAATAATAATAATAATGTCCAAAAGGTAATCTGGGCAAAGTGCAGTGGCTCATGCCTGTAATCCCAGAATATTGGGAGGCCGACATGGGTGGATGGCTTGAGCCCAGGAGTTCAAGACCAAGTTGGCCAACATGGCGAAACCCTGTCTCTACTAAAAATTAAAAAAATTAGCCAGGCATGGTGGTGCATGTCTGTAAGTAATCCCAGCTACTCAGGAGGCTGAGGCATGAGAATCACTTGGACCCGGGAGACAGAGGTGGCAGTGAGGTGAGCTCGTGCCACTGTACTCCAGCCTGGATGACAGAATGAGACCTGTCTCAAAAAAAAAAAAAAAAAAAAGGAAAAAAAAGAAAAAAGAAAAGAAAAAATGTAATACACCACAAACTCTGTAAAGAGCCAATGGACACTGTAACAGGGAGAGTAAATAGTAAATATATGCTTTGCACCATCACATGACATTTAAATTTGTCTCTAGCACTAGCCTAATTCTTTATAAGTTGCCTAAACCTCTATTGGAAGTCAGCTTTTAAAAGACCTGCTCATTTTTATAATCTAGCACCTGTTGTAACATCTAGCATTTTATGGATATGTTTGAAACCTGTAATCTAAATGACGATAGAAATATGGTTCTTGTTTTGTGCAGGAAGTGAAGAAGTAACTGTTGCTGTGTTAAGTTCTAGCTGAATTCAAAGAGTGCAAGGCCAGAGGCAGGCTTTGTTTATAGCCTCCTATCTGATTTCCAAAAGTGAAATAACTATTTTTCAGAAAACCTCTTGGGTTCTCAGGCAACTGACCTACAAACAGAAGGTCAGACTTCAATAACTCTAGGATTCCTTTTAAATGCTGAAGATGAAATATTCAATGATCAATAATTAAGCAAAAACTTCCCCACAAAAGATCCCTTTTATAGAGTGCTTGATTTTTAAAGACGTTTTACTGTTCAACTTGGACACATGAGATTATAAAAGCCAGTGTGATATGAAATAAATCTATACACAACTACTTAGCAACTGAATCTCTGAAAAGACTCGAGCTCCCTGGAAAATGTTAGTTAAATATCCCTGAATAGCTGGCTCCGATCTCCTTTTCACACTAATACTCCTGGTGACATAGATTGTGTTTGTTCTCATTATGCCAGTCCCTCTTTCCCAACCACCAAAGCAAGACATAGATCAGGGTGCCAGAGGGATACTGTCTTTTCCTTTCAACTCTTGATAATTTCCCTCTGATAACTGACTTCTGAAGGGAGCATAGGAAACAGAATTTTTAAAAAAGTTAGCGGATTTGCTAATGATTTCACATTTCAGAGGGTCCCATTTGGTTTTACAACACACTTGACATCCGTATCAGGTGACCTGATCTGAGACTTGTAGTAAAACTTGAAACATGGTCAGGTGCACCTGTTTTCTTCCCAGGGAGGAGATTTTGACACAGAGCCAGTGTGATATATGGAAGGGCTGATGTGGAAAGGGAGGGGAGGTAGCAGCACATGTACACATACTCCCTCCCTCTCGCCCTACAGAAACGGTTCTGTCTCCTGAAATTATCTGATGAAGGGGAAATTGGTGACATTTAGTGTTCATAAATAATGTAAGCATCCCATTTTGGGTTGGCAGCATTGTCACCGGCTGTCAGAATCATTTCAATATCACCAATCTAATCTTAGGACTTTGTTTCCATTGTTTCTTTTTAAAAAGGGAATGGTGAAATGAAAGAGATACCAAGCAGAAAGGCTTTTGTTGGGAAAATCGAGTGGGAGATAGAATAGATGGAGGTTTGAAAAAGCTAGCCTCTCCAGAGGCCTCTGCTTATTAATGGAATCCTAATGAGTCTGCTGGTGCCCAGCCTGAGCTATTGGATCTAAGAAATGGGATATTTGCCACTCTTGTAAAGAATGAAAGGGACAGAAATGCATAATAATGTTATCACTTGTTTGTAGACATTGAATGATTATATCTTAAACAGAATGCAGGTGGCAGAGATTGTTCAGGGAAAAAAAAGCCTTCTGGGATTAAAATGACAAAGAAACACCTCCAGTAGCATTCCATATTAGCACCAAATAGAATAAACATAGCATTATCTTCATTTTTCTTATTCACTAGTGTTTTAAATTTGGAAACCTACTTTCCCTGTTTAAATAGAAGCTTATTCAAATTGAATGTAAATAGAGATCAACTTTTTAAAAGTCCAACTTCTACTCTGTTTTTTCCTAGAATATTCATGAATGCAAAGAAGAGAGAATAGTACAGTAATGAAATGGAAACATTTTTCAAAGCCACAAGTCATAAGATATGGAAATTCTTATTATTATTTAAAAGTTGCTGAAAGGAAGCAGCTCGCCTAATGTGCAAATTTAGTAGTTTTAAAAGTGTTTTTAAACTGATATTCAAATTCTAGGAGCATTTATCTAATAAACTAAATGCATCCTAAAGTACCTGGCTCTTCAGATCCACTAGTAATTTTCAGAATGGATTTTGAAATATAGAATTCTTACTACCACTTGTCTTTGAGAGACTCAAATTTGGATCCTTCCTGAGCTGATGAAAACAATTTTCTATTTAAAAATATTATTTTATTCTTAAGATAAAGATATTTGTTAGAACATGACATCTCTCATGTTGTAACTTTAGGAGGGCAAAAGGGACCTGAAAACTTATGAGTGTCAGTTAGTGCTTAGACTAGGGTATGACCCTCTGCTCTTTGAGTCTATTTTAGATTCTACATCTAAGTGTTTGCCAGGTGTTGTGGGAAGGGGGAGATTGGGAGATGTCGGTAAAGTTTTAGTTATGAAGATCTAATGTACACAGCATGGTGACTATAGTGAACAATATTGTATCATATACTTCAAATTTTCTAAAAGAGTAGATTTTAAGTGTTCTTATCTCACACACACACACATACACAAAGAAAGAAAATGTTAACTGTGAGGTGATGGGTATGTTAATTAGTTGGATAGTGGTGATCATTTGACAAAGTATATGTATATCAAAACATCAGGTTGTATACCTTAACATGTACAATTTTTATTTGTCAACTGTACTCAATAAAGCTGAAAAGCAAAAGAATTCTAAAGGGATAGCAAAAAATAAATAGAAGAAAAAAAAAGAGGCTCCCAAATGGTTGACCTCTTTTCTAATTTCTTATATTCCTATTGGTAAGTTAGAATTTCTGGATTGATTTAGAACTTATTAGTAGCTTTCTGTTGGTTCCATTTGTCTATCAGACCACAGATTATATTCCTCCTGTTCTAGAAATTCTTCCTGATCACTCCAGGCAGAATTATGTATTTACTACTTGAGTCTCCCCTAGTCTTTGCCTTTCCTTCTATTTATCTCTGGATAAATATCTCTGACAGAAGTCTTTACAATCACACTTGACCCCAAAATTGTGTGCCTCTAACCAAGGCAGATATGATAATACTAATCCTTCCCCCTCAGCTATACGCAAAACTCCTGAAGCATCTACAAGGCTTCACACAAGTCTTAATGAATGGATTTCAATGTGCCAATCAGTAAAAGGAAGTTTAAATTTAGCAGGAATATTTATTGAGTATTTACTATATGCTAGGCTTTGCATGCATAGTCACTTTCCAAATGATTCAGTGAGGTAGGTGACACTGTAATCTCCATTTTACAGATGAGATCACATAAATAAGAAGGAGTGGAATGAGAATTTGAACCTAGATTATCTGATAAAAGACCATCACCTTAATCATTTTTCCATCTATGAAATCTCCTCCAATGTGACCTTCAATTATACTGATCCTATGATTTATCACAGCCACTTAGCATATAGTACCCTGCTTACATTTATTTTAAAAAGAGATAAACAATTCTATCTCTTCTACTGTGCTTGAGCTGACCACACATTTTCCAAAGTGATAAACCTATGTGAATTCTTCCATGGAAAAAGTCTTAGGCAGAAAGCATGCATTACTGTTCTTCATATTCATAAATGTAGTTGTCCGGTTGTTCGTTTCCTTTACCACATCCTCCTATTAATTTTTTTCTAGGCTCTTAGCATCAGAGGATAACCTTAAATGAGCGACATTTTCAAGTGCTTTATATTCTAGGCTTCAGGATCAGATGTTGCCATTTTCAGAGACAGCTGTAGTTCCACTCACAAAAGGCCAAGTATCTTATAAAAGAAGGAGTCATTGTAAAGTAAGCTGTTCAAAGCCATATGTCTGATTCTTTCCAGGTGCAATAGGCACAGGACCTATTCAGGCACCTCCCTGTGTCAGGGTGTGCTTACTTGCTGGTGCTTCTCTAAAAATCATTTTAAATTAGTTCATTTTTCATCACTTATTATTTGTTTTCATGGTTCACACATTTTATGTGTGCCAGACACTGGGGTGATAACTGGGCTTACAAAGATAACATGACAGCCTGCCCTTTGTCTCTAAAGAAGTTTACAGTCCTTTGGAAGAGCCTAAATTCTACCCATTCTTTTTATTCCAGAAACTTCTCTCTCTGCTCCAATTATGAGGAATTGGCTCACATGATTATGAAGGCTGAGAAGTCCTATGATCTGCCTTCTGCAAGCTGGAGAACCAGAAAAACTGATGGTTTAAGTCCCTGTTAGAGTCTAAATTCCTTAGAATCAGGAGCATCAATTTCCAATGGCAGGAGAAGATGGTAGTCCAACCTCAGAGACAATACATTTTCACTTTCTCTGCCTTTTTATTTTAGTCAGGTCCTCAACCTGTTGCCTGAGGCCTACTCACGTTGGTGAGGTTGATCTGTACTGTCTGCTGATTCAAATGCTAGTCACTTCTGAAAACATCCTCACAGGCAAACTCAGAATTGTCTCACCAGCTATCAGGGCATCCCTTAGCCCAATTCAATTTGATATGTCAAGTTAACCATCATGCATATGTAGTTTCCTCTTTCACACTATGTTCCTCAACAATATTAACTCCCCACCTTACATCCTATAAATTAAGAGCCACATCATATTACAAACAGCCAGCAGCCACCAAAAATTTTATTACTACCTTTCTTTGTAAACCATTCTATTAAGGTACGATTAACATACAAAAAGCTATGCACATTTAATGTACACAACTTATTGAGTTTGGAGATAAGTATAAGAAACCATCACCACAATCTACTACTTAAACATATCCATCACCTCCAAAAATTTCCCCCATCCTCATTATTTATTATTATTATTTATTATACTAGCAAAGGGACTACACAACAAAAGAGTGATGAGGAGTCATTGTGAGTATCAAGCTTGCAGATCTGGAGCAATCATATAGTCAACCCAAGGTAATGCTTGGGTTCTGATGGACTTGTCACCATCAGAGATCCATGACCTGAGATTCCTTTCCTTGGGCGTATGAAAAGTATGTATTATATGGCACTGGAAGTAGTGCAGCAATACAATTGGAGGAGAAGTGTTTACCCACATGGTTTATGAGAAGGGATTCGGTCAAAACCTAAAATGGGCTGTACTTTTATGGTCGTTTGAAAGGAATTAGTCAAAGAGAGCAACATTGTCAAAAAGAAGGTTTTCTGGGAGCAGAAATGACCTTAACTACATAGTATGCTGATGTTATTCACTTCAAAATATTTATTATGAAAGAACGATGTACCAGAATGCAATGTGAGCACACATACAGTCACTACAAATATATTTTTTACGGTATTATGTAGCTTTCAGTATTGAGTGAGAGACAGATGATAACATGTAAACAAGAAATACAGACTATGAAAATAACCATGAATAAAATAAATAGGGAACAAATAGAATTTCTTGGAGGCCTACTTTAGATAGGGTGGTCCGTGATGAATTCACTAAGGAAACAATATTTAAACTACTACATGAATGGTGAGGTTAAGCTGAACAAGCCAAGAAGAGATGAAATATCACTCCAAGCAGAGAATATAGCATGTGCAAAATCCCACGGTTTAAACAAAAGTATATCCTGTCCTTGCAACTGGAAGGAGACTAGGGTGTATGTAGTTAGTGACCAAGTTAGTGGATGAATATGATATGAAGTCACGGAATCTTGGAATCTTGTCAACTCAAGAATGATGAGATTTATACATGTATAAAGGAGAGCTTTTTTTTTTTTTTTTAGAAAGGGTTGCAGCCTGACTGGTCACCATACTGACAGGATAAGAAGCATAGCTTCTGGCCAAAAGCCAGAAGCAGCCACTTTGAAGGCCAGAAGAATAAAACAGGGATTTATTTATGCATAAAGGGGTGGCCAAATATACATATTCAATAAGCTATAGAAGGACTTATGAATATTTATGAAAGGAGAGGCATGCCCATGTGCAATGGAGCTTCATGCCTCTCCATGGGTCCAATGTTAAAAAACATGGCAGTGTTAGCATGATCTAAGGTGGAGTTTTCAGCCCTCTGACATCAAATGGTGAAGCAGAGAACACCAGAACTCTCACTGCACATCCTCCATAGACTGGCCGGAACCACCCCAGGGTTGGTGGCCCCTTATCAGGAAGGAATGCTGGTCTGTTGTGTTGAAACTGCAAAAGGGAGAGGCAGCAGTCAGGTGGTTGGTTGAAATCAGCAGTGGAGTCTTTTTGAAAGGGCTCGCTTCTGGTTAGCCCTTAGAAATGAAGGTTGAATTGCAGTTAGCAAGAGACAGGTTATAACACGGCTTGTCTAACTTCCCATCCGGCCATGGCCTGGAACTTAGCTTCCAAGCTGAGGTTCCCTTGGCCAAGAGGGAGTCCATTCTGTCAACTGGGGGCTTAGAATTTTACTTTCATTTTTCAACTTGAATAAAAGATCATTCCTTCAGAGCCTCATCAGAGGTTTGATTGGATTTAAAATGGACTGGAAAGTTTTAAATTCTACAATGTTTAGTAGATGTAATGTAACTTACTTTAAATATAATGCCTCAGCATGCACCATGGGTTTTGAGCAAGCAGGAGACAAAGTGGCAAGAAGAACAATTTGGAGACTCTACAGGTTGGGTTCAACAGAAAGCAGACTGTCATACAGTTTGTGAGAGAGTGCTCTTAGAATCAACATCTGTGGAGGTAAAGGAGAAGATAACAGAATTGTGCAAAAAGAGAATCTGTGATTCAGTCTCAGTGGAGTCTTTAGACAATTCACAGAAAACACTGAAGTTAGGAAATCCACTCAATACCATCTTAAGTTGGAGCAAGAAATTTTGTTTTTTCTACCCCTGTTGGATCAGTCATGGGATATGGGCTGTTTCAGGAAAGGGTGTGGTCTTGGGAGAAGTGACCTTCTTTAGTGGAGGTAATTCACAAATGGTGCTAACCCGTGGACTGTGTGCCAAGAGCACTCTTGGAAACTGGGATAATGAGTCATTAAGCCTCAATGAGAGAGACCTAGGGGATTCACCACAACCCACCCTTGTGCTACTTGAATCCAGTTCTGGTGGGAGAAACCATTCAGGATTCCAATAGACCTCTCTTCCTGGGAAAGTTTGTAGGAGAAGGGGTGCTAGCTGAACAGCTGCCGGGCTATAACCCAACTCAACGCCACAACTTGTATTTGCCTCCCTGCTGAATAATCTATTTACTATCTCTCTTACCCTCAGTTGTTAGCTTTGCACGTCATGGTAGTTTGCCTAGTGTTGTGAAAAAGATCCTTATTCCTGAAGGGTCACATACTCTTCCCAGAATGAATTTGTGGGACTCATCTCTTTAACACCATAATTTGTCAAAAAGGACTCAGAGATACTCAAGTGAATCACCTTGGTATAAACATATTTCTCCCTGTTCCCATTGTGTAACAGCAGCCCTACATTTTCCTGGTGGTCAGGGTCAATAATTCTTGCTGGCACCTTGAAAGATATATCCCAAAGTATCCAAATAGCCTCTAATAGTGAATCAGAACTCTTGCTATGTGTACTGGCAGAAGCAGTATCATTTTGGGAGCAAGGACATCTAAAATACTAAGCCTAGGATTGGTGGGAAGCACAAATTCCCCAAACACATCTCTGGAAATGATGGTAAGTGGGGACACTTCTGTTCTTACCTCATGGTTTCCAGACCTGTGTATGCCTGGCATTGGTGGATGGGACACACACAACAACTTGTAAATGTCATTGATTTAAAACATACTCTGAAGTCTGGAAAATCCTACAAAATTGTCATCCCTTTTGAGGTGACCCTTCAGCTGAACCCTTCATAAACCTTTCCATCATTCCATCAGGCTAGCAACTTAAGCCTATGTGGAATGAGCCAAATGGCCACTCTCTCATCTCCTTTACTATTAAGTAGATTCCTTGGTCTGACAAAATGATACATGACCGACTGTGCCAATTGATGATACTCTATACAGTCATCAGATGGTGGTATTAGCTGAGGTCTTTAAATCTGGAAAGGCAAACCCATACCCAAAATATGTGCCAAAATAAATTGTTACCCCCTTTCAAAATATAAAAGATCCAATATAGTCAATTTGGCATAAAGTGACTAATTATGATCACTAGTGATCTCTTAGTGGAGTGGTGCAGTATTAAGGATCCAGCATTGATCTCTACTGTTGGAAGATGGGATATTTGTCAGCAGCAATAGATAAACCAGACTTGGTAAATGAAAGCCTACACTGTTGAGGCCACATGTAACTTTCAACCCCACCACCATGGCTATCTTATCAAACTACTCATTGTGCCAGCACTGCATATCTGGTGGAGGTGGGTGTGCAGGACATTTCTTGTAGTAACGTGAATAATGGGCCCCAAAATATGTCCATTTATAATTTTGGAACCTATAAATGTTTTCTTATTTGGAAAAAGAGTCTTTGCAGATGTGTTTAAGGTAAGAGTCTTGAGATGAGGAGATATTCTTTGATTATCCAGATGAGCACTAAATAACATCAAATGTATTCTTATAAAAGGGAGGCAAAGGAAGATTTGCAACATACAGAGGAAAAGTCAATGTGAAGACAGAGGTAGAGATTAGACTGAAGCAGCCACAGACCAAGAAATGCAAGGAGCCACCAGGAGATGGAATAGGCAATGAACAAATTCTTTTCCAGAGAAAGCACAGCCCTGCTAATATATTAATTTTGGCCATTGATAGTTATTTCAGACTTCTGGCATCCAGAACTGTGAGAGAATGTGTTTCTGTTGTTTCAAGCTACCCGGCTTGTAATTTGTTACAGACACAAGAAACTAATGTAAATTATGGAGAGCAGATATAAGAGAGTCTGGCTGTTGTCAACTGGCTGAGTCATTTTTTTTTCTATAACGCAGTTGAATGCGTCTTCTGTAGTGGATGCGTTCTAGTGGAGCATAGCATATAATATAATTATGTCTCTCTTTATGTTCATTCATATATGCCATCCCCATCCCTCTGCATCAGACTTCTTCATTCCTTCTCTTCCAATTTTTCTCCTTCCTGGCTTCTAACAAATCTTCCAAGCCATTCACCCTTATTCATGAGTCTATATATATTCTAACTCTGGACTATTCAGGTCACACAGAGAGGATGACCAGGTGCCCTACGCAAATGTCTAACCCTTGGGAAGATTTTCCCTTGCCTTTCTAGGCTGCCCCAGGACTACAGGGCAACTGTTATCCATTGTTGGCTTATACCTACATCGTGAGTTGACATCTGTCTATTGGTCATAGGCATATCCTATGTGGCCATAGCTATGAATTTAGGGAACTATTCAGAGAATGTAGAATGGGGAAGAGGAATCTAGGCTCTGTGCTTTTATAGCTCACTTGTGCCTTATCATCCTGCTTGGGCCGGTTCTCAGAGGTACTGCTTCTACCTTACTGTGATTTGCAGATAGAATGAATTTGCTCTGGAATCCTAAGGGTCTACATTTTCATTCCCCCAATGGGTTTGTCCTTTAAGTTCCTTTTATATCTTATGCCAATACTGACACTTTTTATACTATAAGGCCGGACAGAAGAAAAAGTCCAAGGTGCAGGGTCATGATACTGACCTACTGAAGACTTTTACCTGCACCAGACCCAACTATAATAAAATGTATCCATCTTTATTATCACCTAGTATATGATTTTAAGTAGTCTCCCTAAGTATGAAATAAGCTATTCCAGAGACTTAAGAGGCTTTAAAACATTGAGTTTTTTTCTTTATGAAGGAAGAAGCAAGATGCAACTAATGTTTTAATAATGCAGTAGAATCCTCAGCGTTCATAGGGTTTATATCTTGCTCATTGGATAGCATATGCCTTGTCAAAGCCTCCACTGTACTAACCATTCCTTGCTTTCTGGTCTGATTGGCATTATATAATTACTATACTTGTTCAATGCATTGTTTTATAGGATGCATAGTTAAATGTGGACCCTTTGGACTTCATCATAATGAAGGTTAAGATAGTTAACTTAATCAATATGTCAATGGGCACTGTTCATTTCAAGTGAATCCAAACTTTCTGATCCATTTTCCTGAAAAAGATAAAATCACATTTTTCCAAATCATTGGCTGCATACCACGTACCTAAAGTCATATTAATTTGCCCTACGAAAAATACTACATCTTTACCTACAGTTGCAGTTGTGGCTACTACTCCCATGCAGTGTGTTAGTCCATTGTCATTTTCTAATGGTTTTGTAGAGACCAGGCCGGTGACTTATACGGAGATATGATAGGAGAAGATACACCTCTCCCTCATCTATGAGGGTTTTAAAGATGGCTCTAGTTTCTACTCCTGCTCCATAGAATATATTGTTTCAGCTCCTCAGTCCTGATTGAGAATAGGGGCAGTTTTAGGGGCATCCGCTTGGGTTTCCCCACTATGGTATCTCTCACCATCCCTCCAAGAAAACAATGTAGTGGATGTACCAATGACAAACTATATGTATATTCTAACGATACCCTTAGGAACCAGAGACATGCCCACTGAGTAGGTGTATGGACCCAATAGACCCTCTAGATGCACATCTTAGCCAGAACTCTGCTTTCAGTTCTTCTTAGTGCCCTGATCAACTGGGTGAAACATGCTGCTGCCCCACATATCCAGGTAGCAATGTCATTTTGAGCCCTATGTTCAATAATCCTTAAAATACTAGGTAATTCCCTTTCCCTAGTCTATAAGTACCTAAAAAAATAGCAGCAGATCCCTTAGTGGAAGGAATGCTGGAATTACTAACATGTACCTTTCCTGCAGGGTACTTCCTCACGTATACCTGGCCTCTTTTCAAGTTAGTCCCATATTCAAAAACTGGCTCAGCTATAGACACTAGGCAAAGATTTGCATATATATATATATATACATACACACACACACACACACAACAATAATGGCTATCATCTATGTTGCTCCTAGGGGCATCATGTTCTATTAACCAGGTTTGTGACTCTGTATGAGTTAGTCATCCTTTCTGGATGCTAACAACTGTCTTGCTACTCATTATACTAATTAAGTGGGGCCTTTTCTGCTTAGGGATCCTGTCCTATCTTATCTCTTGGTATCACTGGACCCAGTTCTGCAATGGGGAACTATCCTAGCCTACAGAGGAGAAATAATGCTTGTGATGCTTGTGACCCTTTTGCTTTGGTAAGTCAAACAGGTTTCAAGCCCCTGTAAGAGCCTTTTATTTTTACTCAAAATGGAAATCTTGCTGATTAATATTCAATTATGTCTCTGGAACATCTGCACACATACATGCACATATACACATACAAGTACCACCCCTCCTCCCTTGCACATACTTTTTCGAAATATTCCATTGATTTATTTTAAGCCCAGTAGAAAGTGGTCACTATAAATTTTAATAACTGTCATTTAAATATATGACATTAAATATATGTCATTTAAATATATGTCATTTAAATCTATAATATAGTCATAATATCAGAAATTAGAAAATATATAGAAATCCAATATAAGAGACAAATGGGTGGATAGATAGATGATAGATATAGTTTTGCAATGCTAAGTATGAAGACAATAATAATAAAAAGCATGGAGATGGATTGGAACTATATAGAGAAGCCTGAACTTTAAGTGACAGGAGCCACTGAAAGGTTTTAAGCAGGAAGGAGACACATTCCATTTGTACTTTAGAATAAAGTGGAATGGGGTGAGGGAGTGAAAGGTATGTAAATGAGAGATGGTAAAGTTTTGGACCACTGCTCCCACTCGGAAATTTATTCTTCATTGATAAGTGGGGCATGACTTACGAAAATATTCAAAGCTTTGAAAAGGTTTCAGCCACATTTGGACTCCATTATAGAACTTAGATAACCAGAGGTGGGCTGGCAGCTGGTGTGTATAGGGAGGAGACTACTGGTACTGCTTCATTTAACAAGGTTTTAGTGATCATTAAAAGGTAGGTGTGGACAAAGCACATCTGCAAAGCTAATTGCACACATTGAGAACTTCAGGGGGATCATTTTAGCTGCACTTATCCTCACTTGAAAGTTGCTGTCTGCTAAATGGACACAGTTTAAGCCATCACTCCCCATAGAGGCATGGGGACTGGCTCATGAAAATTGAGCAGGCTAATCTAGGAAATAACTGCAAATTAATAAATAAATCTTGATATTATGTAGATTGATATACTTATTTCAGACTCTTGAGAAAATGCAAGAATTTTGGGGAGGGTGATTTTTAAAGAACTGTTTCAGCTGCTTGATTTAATGGTCTATTTTTTGAGCTTAAAAGAAGAACAACTTCAGAGACCCATTTCCCTTTCAAGAGAAGGATTAAATAATCTTAAAGTAGTTGATGTGCAGTTTATGTTTGCATTTTTTATCTAATCAGCCAAACAAATATAATTAATTCAGACAGTTGTCTCTATGGCTTTGGCTCCTGGTAGGAGCTGTATCATTACAAATGCAAATATATTCCTAAAATAATGAAAATGTCATTATCTCTCCGTATTCATTTAAGTGGCCACAGAGAAAACTGAAATACCATTTATTATGGAAGTGACTTTTGTAAACTATGCAGAGAACATTAGCTACTTTTCCTGAGCAGGACGTAAGTCTGGCTGTGAATTTCTTTAGTGTCACCGTGTCAATAATAGGGTATGCACATTAGGGGTATATTGTAATGAAATAGGCACTGGACCAAGCATTTTCTCTGGACTGGAGATTTTATGCTACTTCTGCCTCTGTGTCCTGTTGGCATATTTCTTAACACCTCCGAGGTTTTATTCCTTAGTAGACAAATGGACACTAAATCTATCTTCTCCTCAAAAGAATGTTGTGAGGATCACGTGAAACACATAACAGTATTCTCATTTAAAGTGTGATTGTTGCTAGTTACATGTCAGATTGTGCATATGTGTGCTTTCTTTGTGATTTTTCATTTTAGTATTCTTCCAATGCGCACAAGCTAATTTTTTGCTGCTCTCAATGCAAAATTAAGAATAACTTTTTACAGTTCTTTCATTATGTTTCTAGGCTATATCTAATTTCCCTCTTTAGAATTTTCTTCCAGGTTTGTTGCTGCTTTTGTTTTTCCCCATGTATTTGGATGTTGATTGCTTCTAGGGAACATCCCCTCTGCTTACCAGCACAATTAAGCCTTCCCTGACACTATGGTCGGTAATTTGCCTATGACCATAAAGCCATAAAGCCACTGCAGATCATCTGTCTTCTTCCTTCAAGGTCAAATGGCAATCTATACAAACTGTCACTGCCTGCACAATTCCAGTCATACCAAGCTGAAATTTGTCTCACGCCTTCGCTGACATTGTTCCATGTTTTCACTGTTGGAAGCCTATGGTTTACCTTATCCTAAATGATCTTTCTGCAGCATTTGACACAGCTCACTAGCTCCTACTTGTAGAAAACAACAGATCTGAAATCTTTGTCATAAATATTGTTGTAAACACTGTTTGTTTTAAATATGCAATAAGTAATTTGGGATTCTAGGTAGAATTCAACATTAATGGTCGTTGTTCTTTTTTCTCTTAAAGCTTAGAACATAATAATGCTGAGGAATTTCTGTTATTGTATTTTCATTTTGTTTCATTTCTGTTGTTATATTTCAGTTAGAACATAGAAGAGGGCTTGAGACGGAGTCTTGCTCTGTCGCCAGGCTGGAGTGCACTGGCGCGATCTTGACTCACTGCAACCTCCACCTCCTTGGTTCAAGTGATTCTCCTGCCTCAGTTTCCCGAGTAGCTAGCACTACAGACACACGCCACCATGTCCAGCTAATTTTTGTATTTTTAGTAGAGACAGGGTTTCAGCATGTTGGCCAGGATGGTCTCTATCTCTGGACCTTGTGATCTGCCCACCTCAGCCTCCCAAAGTGCTGAGATTACAGGTGTGAGCCACCACACCCACTAGAGCAACTTTTTTTATGTGCAAAATTAGATAAAGAGTCCTAAAACTTATTTTTCATGTTTGACATGAAATATTAAGAGAGAAAGACCTATATAAGTTATGACTGTAAAACCGACTCTGATTTAATATTAAGGAACATGGAAAAGAGCTGAGAGGCAGTGTAATGTAGGTCTTAATAAAATATACTTTAGAATCAGAGAAAACCCTATTTGATTTCCTATTTCTCTACTTTCTAGCACTGAATCCTTGGGTTAGTTGCATAATCATTTTAGGCTTAATTCTGTTTTCAATCAAATGGAAATAATAATTACTATTATGGATTAACATGAAAACTAAACAGAAAATGCTTATACAATCTTTAAGACAACTCAGTAGTAATAGTGAAAATGCTAAAAATAATTAAATTATTACTTAAAAAAATAAAACAGTAGTAAATATTCAAACTCAAACAAGCCCTCACAAGTCAATTATAATGTGAAAGATATCAAAAAAGATCTGATCATAATGGGCACTATTTCCCTAGACAAACTTTTAAATATTTCAACTTTTTTTAAAGAAATATGTTCTATCAGATATTTCTTTCACCCCCATATCAGCAGTACATTTCAGATACTTTTTAATAAACAAAATAGAAACTTGATATTTCATATAAATATACATGTCACTATTCTGGTATTCTCATTATTAAGTGTAGGTTTAATCTTCCTTTAGAAATCAATTTGTCCTATATAACATTGTCCTATATAATAGAAAGTCAAATAATTGTGTTTTGAGGTATCTTATTTCTATCTGGTTCTGCTATATGTAACACAGTTCAAGGGGCCAGATGATCTGAGTGGCAGTATCAGCAGATTAGATAGGAGAAACAAAAAGCTGAGAGACCAGTTAAACGGCTGTCTTGGAAGATCCTTTAATAGGCAAAGAGGTCCATGATACCAATAACAGCCATTGTGATCAAAAGTGTGGGATACGTTTGAAACCCTAGTGAGGTCGACTTAAAATAATTTAGTCACCTATTTTTTTATCTGGGGTTGGAACAAGATGAGCATTTCGGTTTGGGTCACAGGGTGCATGGTGAAATAGAAGAGGATATATAAGACCTCAGCTAGAAAAAGAAACTTGATTTAGAACGATTAGATTATGTATGCTGTATATTTGTATATATGTATGTATAATTATTAGATTGTGTATGCTATACATAATCTACCTATATATATACACATATATATATACATTTATACACTGTATATTCATGCTTTGATTTAAGACTTTGCCTTAATTTAGAAACAGATTGTTAAGATACAATTGATCAGCTCTGAATTTTTCCTCTGATTAGACCTTAAATTTCATGAAGTAGGAAGCAGAACTTCTCAATAATATTTTTATCAAAATATCCCTACAGTGGAAGAGAGCAAATTAATGTATTGAAGGAAGAGTTTCCTGTCAGAGTAAATTAGCTCACAGCAAAAATAAATATTCTAACATATCTTTTATCTTGAAGTATGTAACTTTCATTTTCCACCATAACATACAATTATATTTATGTAGTGTTAGAATTATTTAAGGCCTCAACTATTATTTGAGTAAAATTAACGTATCAGAAATAAATGCCATATTTTCAAAATCTTGACCATAAGACAGAAACATTTTGAGTAATACTAATTCATAGAATGGGTTAGCAATTTGTTGATTTCTTAGGTAATTTCACTTAATGATATGCAGGTATTTTGAAAAATAATGCAAATTAAATTCACTGCACATCCACTAATATAACCTAATTCTGATGAAATGATTATTTATTTCTTCATATACCCTTTTAGCCTTTGCCTGACTAATTTCAATGACAGTGTTCTTACAATTTGAAATTTTGAATTTGAATTTTTTTATGTAACATTGCATAATAACTTCCTTTATTTCTTTGTTGCTACCCTTATATTGAATTGTGTTCATATGTATTTTTCAATCATTTGCTTCATGTTGAACCTTTAAATTGTCTTTGATATTTGTCATCCATAAGCAAAACTGGGATATAAAATTAATCACAGAATTATAAGGCTAAATGTAGATGACATCTTTATGAGTCCGATATGTATTGAAACACGTCGAGCTCTCTCCAGCAAAGCCCTAAACAGTGCTTTGCTGGTTTAAAAGCAGTGTTTTTCATGGTTGAAAAACAAAAATATAAAACATGGAAGAATTTTTGCAATACTCATGATAATGAGCGACAGTAAGGATTTAGTTTGTCCCAGACATGCAGCAGCCAAGCAGGTTGTGTGGGTGGGCTAGAGTTATCACTACTAAGCATGCCATATAAACAGTATTCTAAAAAATGAATGGCTACTCATGAGCACCACTCACATATAGTTTGCAGTGGCTTGGTTAGTGTGTGCTTTTCCTTGTATATGTGGAAATGACATATATTAACAAAACAACTATATCTGGACTATAATTATCTTGACTATAACTATAGCAAAACAACTATATCTTTCTACTAGTGATGCATATTATTGAGGCATGTTATGCTAGAATTCAGAAGACAATAGAAGGAATTTTTTTAAAAAGCTACTACGTACTGAGTGTTAACTCACGGCCAGTGAATCTTACATACATGAACTTATTAGGGAGAAAATTATCATCATTTTTCAATTATAACAATGATGCATTACCCAAGGTCATACAGTGAGTATTATATTAAGAAAAAGAGAATTGGAAAACAGGTTCAAGAACAAAATCTATGACTTATCAAATGCGTCCATAAACAGAGCATTGATGAGATAAAATTGTTAAAATACACTACTTATGAGAATATTTGAGATACCTTAACGGAAGCTTTTAGAGTTTACTAGAATATGTGAAGAACTAATTAGTGCAAAGTCAAAGAGTACTCAGTTAAGAAAGTAAGCTTGATCCCATTACTATGTCAACAGGGTTAAACTTGAAGTACTCTCCTGAGAAGCAAGCTTACAATCTCATTAGTACTTTGGTATATGCATATGTTTGCTTGTGGGGAGGCTAGAGGCAGATTTGGAAGAGGTGGTGCATAATTAGGCTCATATTACCCAAATTACTGTTTCTGGGACACTCTTCTTGATGAGCTTTTTTTTTTTTTTCACTCTACTTCTGTATTTGTATTTTTTCATCTGGGCATTTAGGCAAACTGAGCCTACTTTGATATTTTGCTCAAACACTGGCATGTGAAGTGAATATTTTACTTCTTAGAACACAGCATCCTCGAGAAATACATAAATATTCATCTGGCAGGATGACAAACTAGTATGGATTACTGCCTCCTTCGCTTCCCATGGCAATACCAGTTTAGATATTCTTTTGAAGCAATAAATTTATATATTTATTTCACAACTTGATACAGAATTTAAGAAATGGATTAAGGATATAGAGAGAAGCTCACTTTCAATGTGTTCATATGTGTGTATGTGTGTGTATAGTGGAAAGTTGCCTAGAGGAAAAGATAGCAGCCTTTATTACATGATTCAGAAAGAAAACAGCAGCTCTAGTTATATTAGAATATCTGGTATTAATACCATAGCAGTTATGGAGCTCAGCTAAGGAAGGCACTTACTAACTACAGATTAAGGAAAGCATTTCACGTTTTATCTATAGACCCTTCAAGCCTCAGAACATGAATAGAAAATTAACTAAGAAAAAACCTGAGAAAGTGGCTTTTGAAACATGGTTATGGTCGTAGCTTTTTTGAAGTTAACGATCTTTCAGAAGAAGGCAAAGCAAATGTTAATTGGTTGAAATTTGGGCTGAGCTCTTGCATCAAGCTCAAAAGAAGAGATTGATAACATTATAGCAAGATAGAGAATAACTCCAAGGAACCATAAACAATTAAGGAAAAGAGAGAAGTATATGAAGACTTCACAAATATAAAACATTAGCTAGGAATTTATATTACAGTGAATACATGATTTACATGGACATAATTTTTGAAATTACTTAAAGAACATAAAAGAAAACAAAGATACAGAGAGATATACCATGTTCATTAATGGTTCAACTTAAAATAAGGTTTTAATTAACTCAAAGTTAATTATAAATTTAATGCAATTCCAATTAAGAGAGCTATCACAACTTTTGAGAAAACTTGCATACATAGATTTTAAATTTTATATAGAAGTAAACATTCACACGTAAGTACGGCAAACTTAAATAAGTAAAAGTATTTGGAGGTATTTGCAATGCTAAGTATCTTTCATCTAGCCCTCCAGATGGATGTTCTTCATTTCCATCTTTGTATGTCTTTGAATGCTGAACCCTGTGGGCCACATCTACTAGGTTCCCTGTCTGTCTGTGTTCTTCAACTTTGTTCATGGAACACCAATAGGTACTGTCTTCCAGCTCTTTCTCTACTGAAGATAAAAGATCCTACATTTACAGCTCTAGAAAAAGAATAGAACTAAATAAAACCTGCCAATGGTCCTATATTAGGTGTATATAAATGTGTTACAGCATTTGTCTCATCTTGTTATGATTTTCTGTCTTTTCTGCTACAATGTTCTCCTTAAGGGCACTGTTATCTTTATCAGTTAGTATACAAAAACATATCAATCAATTAAAACATCTTTCAGGCTGGCAAGAACATGACCTATTTAGCCAACTGTAACAAATACTTTATATTCAGAATTATTATATCACTATAGAAAACATTTGTAGGTTTAAATCTAAATAAAGTTTACTATTTAAACATGAAGCCGGCAGTTGGGAAAAAAAAAAAAAAGCTTTTTTTTCTTACATAATAGCCAAACAATAAACTCTAAGAAAGTTCTATTTCACAAATAAATGAAAACATTACTATCTGTAGTTATTGTTTAACAGAGACACAAATCCAATCTAAAAAAATATTTTGAAACCCCAAAGAAAATGCAATTGCCCAGAAAGCAATCAGCCATTTTGAATACTTTGATATTTAATAAAGATAGCTTTATCTCTGCAAGCACAATTTGATAACCAATATTGTATTCTAGATAAATGAAAAAGAACACACCAAACAATGCACTAGAATTTAATTTGAATATAGAACACTTATACTCTCCCTGCAAAATATTAAACTACTACAGAAGAAACATTGTATTTGATTTTTCCTTGAATCTCCTTAATTAGATAAGTAATATAAAATACAAATGTGAAAACCAAAATATTTTAAAATATTTCTTAAGTGAAAGATTACTGACAAGTTATAAGAATATATAAAAAGCATAAAGATTTAAAGATTAATATATTTAAATTTATAAAGTATTATTTAAGACATAAAGTCTGAAAAATCCAACAGTTCAGAGAACAATAATATACTTTGTTTTAATGTGATATAGATGTCAAATAGTGATACATTCTGTAGGTAAATAAAATTATATCAAACATTATATTTCTAATTTATTCTTTTTAAAATATAAGTTATTTTCTTTTCCAAGCACAATCCATTTGCTGATTAAACTTCTCAAGAAGTTTTTTTAATATTAAGAATTACCTGCACAGAGTTTTTCAAATGAAGTAAGCTGACAAAAACACATTTAATTTGAAGCCACATGGAAGGTATAATAGAAGTACAAAAACCAAATACAGTCTGAGTTTCAAATTTCAATTAAAATTTTTGATAAAAATAACACTTATAAGCTCTACTTGAGGAACATACTCAATTTATAGAGGATTATATTACATTATATTTGAGGCTTTGTACCTTGACAAATTCCATGTGTAGGGCCTTTTAAGTATAAATGTATTAGTGAATTAAAAAAAACAAAGTAATATGATAGCATTAGAATTGCTTTTAGTTGTACAATGTAAGCAGATATAGCAAAATCCTCATGCTGTTTACAAAATAAATCAGAAGAGATGGAAGGAGATCACCAAAAAGAAAATGGCGAATATAAGTTAATATCTTTTCCCCATTAGCTCTTTCTTTGCTCTTTTCCTGAACTTGCGTGTATTATCATAGTATTATAGGTAAAACTCACCTTCCATTTTCTTCCCTATCATCCATGAAATGTTGCACCTGGCATTCACTACCTATGCTAATTTTACCCTACATTATATTGCCAACCTCATTCTTACTATTTTCCAAGAAGTCTTGCTTAAATGTCATATTTTCCTGTGCTTTCCTGTATTTCTTGGCCACTTCATTGCTTTTAACATTGTTTCCTCCATACTAGACATGTTCTAGGTTAAGATATCAACATGCCCTTATACACTTTATTGTAAAAAGACCTCTGAAATATTACTTCCTCCTAAAACTTCTAATCTTCAAAAGGAAGTAACCCATTGGAGATACATACATACATACACACACACACGCACACACACACATATATATCATATACATATATACACACACATATTATGAACATGGTATATCTCTCCATATATACCATATATACAATTAAGTTTTCTTTTATGTCTTTTCAATATCTATCATGAGAATTTTTCTAGGAAGGGACTAATTCTTATGTGGGAACATTATCTGATAAGTCATGTGAGAGGTGAATGTCAGTGTGGGGACATAGAACTGCAATAACCAAGGCCTGCCAAAATGAAAAAGAAAAAAGGTAAATTCATCTGCATTAGAAAGGCATAAGACATTAGGGGAGGGGATGGGAAAAATAATAGGATTTAGAGGGGAGGTAAACAAGAAGAGAAAATGGCTGGGGAATAAAATAGGAAGCTAGAGTCCAAGTCGCAGCGTGTATTTGGTTGTAGTTCCCCTCGAATCTACATTGTTGATTCTTGTATTGTGTTGTCCTAATCATTCCTGCAGTTGCATCATGTTGTATTTATATTGGCTGAAACAGTGCCTTGTGTAAATGTGTAGTTTATGCCCTGCTTACTCAGTATTCTGTAAAGTAGGCTTCTTACCTTATTTTCGTTCTATAGTCATCAGGATTAGAAATTGATAATCAAACAGCCTCCATCTAATCCAGACATCTACCAGTGTATACCTCTTCCGCATAGCAAGGGAAAGACATGCCCCAGTAGGGATGAATTGTAATTGTACACAGCAAATCTGAAGTGTTGTGTAACGTCATTTCCTAGTCATACAGTTACTACGGGAACACTACTGAGACTAAGGTGACCAGCAGACCTCATGTATAGACATTTTAATATAGCTCAATATTATTTTCAACAATAGATTGAAGTAATCCATCTTCTCTGAGTGCTTTTGTTATACATTTTTCTAAGAGAAAGAATTTTATTTGGATGATGTGTTATCACTGAATGTGAAGAAGACTCTGTACCATTTCAAGCCAAGACACTGCAGAAATTACCTACCTCATGTTTTTCATAATCCAATGAGATATGTCTAACAGAGAAGAAGTGATTGTAAATTAATAGGCATGTCAAAAACAAAAACATTTTTTCAAAAGAACTCAGAGTCAGTTTCTTCAGAAATAAATCATGAAAAGGGTTAAACACTTAGAATTTACAGTTTCCTCTCCAAGACAAATATTGATATATATGTGACCAGTTTCTATATTAGGACTTTATGAAAAGAATGTATAAATGGCTGCATCCATGCTATGGTAGGAGATGTATTATAATGTGTATTTAGTAAAATTCTACACCATAAAAATTGGTTTTCGCTTCACCAAATAACTGGGTAAATATAAGATACGGTTCAAAGAAGTCCCTCCATTCTAGTCTGGTCTGTGTTCCTTTTTATTTTGAGTCATCCTTGGACCCCTGCTTCTCAGTTTCTCAGTTGTCTGTGCCATAATTCCATCTGATCTGTCGCTAGTTCATCGGATACTCTGTTTTTCAAATTATAATTCTTATTCCTAGATTGGTTGCAAACTGTCTAAAATTTCATAGTTTAATTAGTAGTATTTTCTGCTGTTTCTTTAAATCAATTGTAATTTGGAAAAACTGATTTCTTTTAAGAGGGAAGAATTCTCTGTCCTTAATTAGTTTTCAATGTGGAAATGGCTTTTCTATCTTTTTGTGAAGGTACTGTCCCTTCATCTCTGTACATAATCCCAATGTCCTTCATACAAATTTGAACTATTTTTAATCGTTTGTATTCTACCATGATTGGGAGCTAATTGTGATCTTCTAATTTTGGCAAGAATAGAACGTGCTAGCACAGGAGTTGAAAAGAGATCTCACCCTGGGGTAGCAGTATGTATAACACTGTAATTACGTTCTGTAATGAATAGAAAAGCTCAGAAAATAAAATTTTAGCAAGAAAACACACTATAACTTATTGACCATCATAACTGTTCTCTGCACTCAAAGGATGAATCCAACATGTGAATGGCATTGAAAAGCTTCTCCACCACAATCAAGTTGGCTTCATTCCTAGGATGCAAGGCTGGTTCAACCTATGCAAATTAATAAATGTAATTCATCACATAAACACAACTAAGACAAAGACTACATGATTATCTCAATAGACACAGAAAAGGCCTTTGATAAAATTCAACATCCCTTCATTTTTTTTTTTTTTTTTTTGAGACGGAGTCTCGCTCTGTCGCCCAGGCTGGAGTGCAGTGGCATGATCTCGGCTCACTGCAAGCTCCGCCTCTTGGGTTCACGCCATTCTCCTGCCTCAGCCTCCCGAGTAGCTGGGACTGCAGGTGCCCGCCACCATGCCCGGCTAATTTTTTGTATTTTTAGTGGAGACGGGGTTTCACCATGTTAGCCAGGATGGTCTCGATCTCCTGACCTCATAATCCACCTGCCTCGGCCTCCCAAAGTGCTGGGATTACAGGCGTGAGCCACAGCGCCCGGCCAACATCCCTTCATATTATAAACTCTCAGTAAAGTAGGTATTAAAGAAATCTACCTCAAAATAATAAGAGCCATTTATGACAAACCCACAGCCAATGTAATACTGAATGGGCAAAAGCTAGAAGCATTCCCTTTGAAAACCAGCATGAGACAAGGATGCCCTCTCTCACCACTCCTATTCAGCATGGTAGTGGATGTTCTGTCCAGGGCAATCAGGCAACAGAAAGAAATAAAAGGCATTCCTATAGGGAGAGAGGAAGCCAAATTATCTTTGTTTGCAGATGACGTGATCCTACTTCTAGAAAACCCCATTGTCTCAGTCCAAAAGCTTCTTAAGCTGATAAGCAACTTCAGCAAAGTCTTAGGATACAAAATCAATGTGCAAAAATCTCTAGTATTCCTACACACCAAAAGGTATGCAGAGTGCCAAATCATGAATAAACTCCCATTCACAATTGCTACAAAGAGAATAAAATACCTAGGAATAGAGCTAAAAAGGGAAGTGAAGGATCTCTGCAGGGAGAACTACAAACCACTGCTCAAGGAAATCAGAGAGGACATAAATGGAAAAACATTCCATGCTTATGGATAGGAAGAATCAACATCATGAAAATGGCCATACTGCCCAAAGTAATTTATCAATTCCATGCTATTCCCATTAAACTACCATTGACATTCTGCACAGAATTAGAAAAAAAAAACTATGTTAAAATTCATATGGAACCAAAAAGGAGCCCATATAGTCAAGACAATACTAAGCAAAAAGAACAAAGCTGGAGACATCATGCTACCCAACTTCAAACTATACTATAAGGCTACAGTAACCAAAACAGCATGTTACTTGTATTAGTCTGTTCTCACGCTGCTAATAAAGAGATACCCAAGACTGGATAATTTATAAAGGAAGAGGTTTAATTGACTCGCAGTTTTACATGCCTGGGGAGACCTCACAATCCTGACTGAAGGGGAATGAGGACCAAAGTCCTGTCTTACATAGTGGCAGGCAAGAGAGCTTTTGTAGGGGAACTCCCCTTTATAAAACCATCAGATCTCATGAGACTTATTCACTATCATGAGAACAGCACAGTAAAGACTTGACCCCACAATTCAGTTATCTTCCACTGGGTCTTTTCCACCACCATGATGGAAATTATGGGAGCTACAATTCAAGATGGGATTTGAGTGGGAGTGCAGCTAAACCATATCAGTACTGATACAAAAACAGACACATAGACCAATGGAACAGAATAGAGAACTCAGAAGTAAGCCTACATACCTACGACCATCTGATATTTGACAAACCTGAGAAAAACAAGCAATATGGAAAGGAATCCCTATTTAATAAATGGCTCTGGGAGAACTGGCTAGCCATATGCAGAAAATTGAAACTGAAGCCCTTCTTTATACCTTTTCAAAAATTAACTAACAATGGATTAAAGACTTAAGTGTAAAACCCCAAACAATAAAAACCCTAGAAGAAAATCTAGGCAATACCATTCAGGACATAGGCACGGGCAAAAATTTCGTGATGAAAACACCAAAAGCAATTGCAACAAAAGCAAAAATTGACAAATGGGATGTAATTAAAGAGCTTTTGCACAGCAAAAGAAACTATCATCAGAGTGAACAGACAACCTACAGAATGGAAGAAAATTTTTGCAATCTATCCATCTGACAAAGGTGTAATATCCAGAGTCTATAAGAAACTTAAACAAATTTACAAGAAAAAAACAACCCCATTAAAAAGTGGGCAAAGGACATAAACAGACATTTCTCAAAAGAAGATATCCATGCAGCCAAGAAACATCTGAAAAAAAAGCTGAACATCTCTATCATCTCTATCATTAATGCAAATCAAAACCACAGTGAGATACCACCTCATGCCAGTCAGAATGGCAATTATTAAAAGATCAAGAGGCCAGGCACAGTGGCTCACGCCTGTAATCTCAAAACTTTGGGAGGCTGAGGGGGGCAGATCACCTGAGGTCAGGAGTTCAAGACCAGCCTGACTAACATGGCGAAACCTCATCTCTACTAAAAATTCAAAATTAACCAGGTGTGGTGGTGTATGCCTGTAATCCCAGCTACTTGGAATGCTGAGACAAGAGAATCGCCTGAACCCGGGAGGTGGAAGTTGCAATGAGCTGAGATCGCACCATTGCACTCCAGCTTGGGCAACAAGAGTTAAACTTTGTCTCAAAACTAAAGTCAAGAAACAACAAGTGTTGGCAAGGTTGCTGAGAAAAAGGAATACTTTTACATTGTTGGTGGAAATGTAAATTATTTCAACCATTGAAGAAGACTGTGTGGTGATTCCTCAAAGATCTAGAAGCAGGAACACCATGTGACCCAGCAATCTCATTACTGGGTATATACCCAAAGGAATATGAATCATTCTATTATAAAGATACCTGCACGTATTGTATGCATATGTTCATTGCAGCACTATTCACAATAGCTAAAGCGTGAAATCAACCCAAATTCCCATCAATGATAGACTGGATAAAGAAAATGTGGTATATATACATATATACACACCATGGAATACTATGCAGCTATAAAAAGGAACGAGTTCATGTCCTTTGCAGGGACATAGATGGAGCTGAAAGCCATTATCCTCAGCAAAGTAATTCAGGAACAAGAAATCACACACTGCATGTTCTCACTTATAAGTGGGAGCTGAACAATGTGAATACATAGACACAGAGAGGGAACAACACACACTGGAGCCTGTCACGGGTGAGGTTAAGGGGAGAGAGAGCATCAGAAATAATAATTAATGGATGCTGGGATTAATACATAGGTGATGAATTGATCAGTGCAGCAAACCACCGTGGCACACATTTACTTATGTAACAAACGTGCATATCCTGCACATGTACCCCCAAATTTAAAATAAAAGTTGAAGAAAAAAAAATATGAATGGGTATAAATTATACAGTAGTTCCTCATTATCTGTGGTTTCACTTTCCTTGGTATTAGTTACCCACAGCCAACTGTAGTCTGAAAATATTAAATGGAAAATTCCAGAAATAAACAATTCACAATTTTCAAATTGTGGATTGTTCTGAATAGCTTAATGGCTGGAACCTCGCATGTTCCAGCTCCATCCTGCCTGGGACGTGAATCATCCTTTGTCCGTCATATTGATGCTGTATACCCTACCCAAACCTTAGTCATCAATATTGTTTGTTCCTTACATTCAGCCATCACCATTGTCATGACTTGATGATCCAGGATCACCCCCAGCAGATGATCCTCCATCTGTCATAGCATCAGAAGCTCAATTGTAGCTTAATGGTACATCAAAATGCCTATGCCATTCACTTCACTGCCTCTCATCCTGTAGACATTTTATCATCTCATGTCTTCACAACAAGTATATTTTGAGAGAGAGACCACATTCTCATAACTTGTATTACCCTGTATAGTTATAATAATTCTATTTAATTATTAGTTATGATGGTTAATCTCTTGCACCTAATTTATAACTTAAATTTTATCACAAGTATGTTTAAGAAAAAACATAGTGTATATAGAATTCAGTGCTATCGACAGTTTCAGAAATGGGGGTCTTGAAAACCATTTCTCATGGATAAGGAGGGATTATTGCAGTTATAAGCTTACATGTGTGAAATAACAAATAGCATTCTTTCTTTAACTCAGTTGGATTTCTATCCTGAAGTTACAGTTTTTCAAATGAGAGAGAACTTTATCTCTATCCAAGGTAAAATTTGGAATTTTTTACTTCCATACCCTTCAATTATTCATTAGTCAATTCGGATTTACAGTTCAGTTATATTGAAGTTAAAACACTACCCCAAAACTTTCCTCTCCCCACAACTATCTGTTTTTTAAAATAAATTGTAATATGTGTATTTAAGATATACAAGATGATAAGATACATATATACAATAAAATTGAACAAATTAGCATATCCATTATCTCACATAGTTATTCATGCCCCCTATTCCTTATGGGGGCATGACAAGGGCAACTATGATCTCCTCATTTAGCAAAAATCCTGAATACAATACACTATTATTAACTGTAGTCTTCATGTTGTACATTAGATCTTTCAGTGTGTTCATCCTACATATTTTTACTTTGTATCCTTTGACTTGTATCTTCCTATTCCCTACTATCTGTTCAGATTCTAAGGTCCAGGGAACTTGGTAGGGAGAAAAGTCTTAATCATGGTTTGTCTTACGTTTGCTTCCATTTATTCCTATTAGCCATGGCTAGTATGACTGGTATGACTATGGCTAGTATGATTTATCAGTCCAAACAACACATAGAAATCCCTCAGACAGATTTAGATAACCTGATTATCTTGTCTAAACTTCATTTTCAACTTTTATTATTGTGACCTCTCTGAGAAATCACAATATTCCCTTTTATCCCCAAGAAAGTGGCCCACAATTCACCTCTTTGTACCTTGACTTTTTCTCTTTTCTCTGTAAGCTAAATTCCATCCTTTGAAAGGGGCATACTGAAATTTTGAAATCTCTTCTCAGATTCTTTAGGAGCTATGGAAATAGAGGCTATATCTCAGCCAAATCATGAAGAAGCAAAGCATGGCCACCACTCCTCCTGGTCAATCTCCTTCTATGAACTTTGATATTTTTTGAGATTGATACCTTCCAATTCTTCACACAAGAATAGTGCAAATATAAGAGAAGCTTTGCATAGTGCCCTTCTCCTGGAGTGTACTGAGAGGAGGCATGGACAGAGTCCATGTACTCTGCATTGCTTCTTATTCTTTTGTTTTCCCCAAAATGAAGGGAACAGAAAATCCCAATCTGCTTCACTAGTAGAGCTTCATAAATAATGAAAGGCCCTCATGGTTATTCTACTTAAGTACAGGCAGGCTAATTAAATTCAAGGAAATTATATATGTGGTTTCTCATCAAATTGTTTAATCTGCTAAGAGATCACCAAATTATAGTCTTACACTGATAAAACACATCACATGTCTTTCACTGATAAAATCACACATCACATGTGGAAGAATGAGTGAAATGAAGATACCATGCATTGGTCAGAAAAAAAAAAAAGGCCCCTTAAAGGCATCATAGAGAGAGATAGAAATGTTTCAATAAGTGAAAATTTTACCTCCTAAATTTAAGAATCATTTTGTCAAACCTCACAGGCATATCATAAAGGCATTTCCACTATTAAGATACTGTCTTGAAAATTGTCACACAGAACTCCAGCTTCATTCAGGTAGAGTGTTAGATCTATGTTATTTCACTGTATTTTAAATGTCGTCCTCCCCTCACTAGTTGACTCTTAGAGAAAAGGGCACAATGGACTAATTGAGCACTGCTTACTTACTAGGCAAGCATAGGTAATATAGGTGCCAAGGGGCTACATTGATACAAACTGGAGAAAGGAGCTTGAGAATCTTCCCAGCACCGTATAGGGCTTATGGCTTCTTGTGTGTTATGTCACTAAATATCTTACCACCCAATAGCAGGAAAATTAACTGGATATTTTCCATTTGCTCTTCCAAATTCTATTCTTCATCCTTCTCTATCCTGTTTCGTGCCCCCAAGAAGCTAAACTGCATGTACTGCCTCATGGGCACCCTTACCCACTAGCTTCTGAGTTTGGGTAATTCAGAATGCCAGGAGATTAGAGTGAGGGAAGAGAGTAAGGTTGAGATATTAGATATTCAGCTTCCACTTAACCAGTCACTTTGGCAAAATCCTTTTGTGAAAGGCTGCTGCTCTGGGTACGTGGTCCTCTCCACACACCTACTCACTCCCTGCTCACATTAAGTTCTCTCTTTTGCCATAAATCTAAGATCTTTATTCCTTCATTTTGCTAGTCCTGGGATACAGTTCCATGTTTCTTTGTCTTTCTGAAGCCTACCAACACATTTGTAATCAACACCTTTTTTAAACCATCTTAATGAACCTGTTAGGTATGCCATCTGTCTCCTTCTGGGACCCTTATAGGTATGGGCATTATTCATATTGTGTAGTGTGCATCTTCCTCTCTGGCATACTGTAAATAGCAAAAACAGAAACCTTAATTCAATGAAAATGTATTACACCTTTGTTAAATATTCAGTGTTTAGTCTGTGTGAGTAAATAGGGCAGTGCGCTTTTGGAGACCAGTTATGTTTCACATAAGTGCCTAATGCTTCTAAAGCTACCCCATGTAACTCTTGTTGATTTGATTTTGTCTTCAAGGGATTTCATATTTCCAGCTTTACAACCTCTGTATGAAAACAGAAGGAAAAGCAAATAACATGCAAAGCCCATGCCTGAAATTGTACATCAGAGATGAAGCAATTTAAGTTGGACAATGAGGAGGGCCAGCTAGCTCAGTCAGTAGAGCATGAGACTCTTAAACTGGCATCAACATCACCAAATGCCTAATTCTTTCCCATGAAAAATGTTTTTGTTTTGTTTTACTTTTGAGATGAAGTCTCACTCCGTTGCACAGGCTGGAGTACAGCTATCTCGACTCACTGCAACCTCTGCCTCCCAGGTTAAAGTGATTCTCAAGCCTCAGCCTCCCAAGTAGCTGGGACTACAGGCGAGTGCGACCATGCTAGGCTAATTTTTGTATTTTTAGTAGAGACGGGGTTTCACTGTGTTGGTCAGGCTGGTCTCAAACTCCTGACCTCAAGTGATCCGCCCTCTTCATCCTCCCAAAATGCTGGGATTACAGGTGTGAGCCACCGCATCTGGCTGAAAAAATGTTTTAAAAGAAAATATATGTCTATGTGTTGACATAAGCAACAATAAAAATATTTTTTCAACAAACAAAACATTTATATTTTTAAGTGAGTTTATTTCTCTTTAAGGTATATGCTTAAATAGATTGTACATATTTTTCTAAGTGTAATTTGTTCATATTATTTTTGAAACTCTAATTTGGGAATTATTTTTAAAGACAGTTTTAAAAAAGTGAATGTGTTCATTGTGGTGGCTCAAGCCTATAATTCCAGCACTTTGGAGGCTGAAGTGGATGAATCCTTTGAGTCCAGGAGTTCAAGATTAACTTGGGCAACATGGTGAAACCATGTCTCAAAAAAAAAAAAAAAAAATTAGCCAGACTTGGTGCTGCGCACCTATAGTCCCAGCTACTGAGGAGGCTGAGGCAGGAGGATCACTTAAGCCTGTGAGGTGGAGGTTGCAGTGAGCTGAGATTGCACCACTGCACTCCAGCCTGGGGATGGAGACCCCGTCTCATAATAATAACAACAATAATAATAGTAATGAATGTAAAGTACACTGGCAAATTGATATCCTCGTGTCCTCCTTTCCCTGTATTTGTTTTTACAACTTTCCCTTCAGCATGTAGATGTGGATGTCACATTGCAAACTTGGAATGTCCAACAAATTCCCAGTACGCTCCATCATACCTACTTTGCTCATAGACTTTCTTATCTAATTATTGGAAAATACTTTCTTCTTGTTACTTAGGCCAAATGCCATGAAGTCATTTTGCTCTCCACTTTTGCTATCACCCACATTTAAATCAGCTAATCATAATGACTGCACTTTTAAGTACACCTGTAATCACTAGCGAGAGGGGAACTTTTAAGACACAAGTTAAAACCTATCATTCATTGCTCAAAGGTGTCCATTAATTTCCCATATCATTCAGAGTAAAAGCTAAATATGTTAAACAGCTTATAAAATCCTCTACAAAACTATCTGCTACCCGTTTCTCTACAAATACTCCTCTCCCTCTTTGTTCTCTCTTTTCCAGCCTGATAACTGTTTATGCATGTATGTACATGTGCTTCTTTGTGTATATGTATGCAGTATGTATTTTATACTTATTCCCTTGAATATAAGGGATGCACATATGTAGGTAAATTATGTAAGTGTGTATTCATTATCTCTATGCTTTATTTTTTCCTTGTACATTCAGCTCCCCTTTTTTAGAATGCTCTTCCCATATTTCACCTAATTCAGATCTTTAAGTAACAGTTTCTCAGAATGCCTTTTCTGAAATACCTATTTAAAATTGAAAGCCTTACACCCTTCCTAATTCTTCTTTTCTATTTATTTTCTCCTATATTATTAGGTTGGTGCAAAAGTAATTGCAATTTTTGCCATTAAAAGTAATGGCAAAAAAATTACTTTTGCACCAACCTAATACTTATCATTATTCAATATTCCCTCTTTCAATGTGCTGTTATTACTTAATATTTGCTTAGTCATGAAATAATTTTTCATGAGGATGGAAATTTTTATGTTTAAATTTTTACCATTCCAGTCTTATATCCCCATAGCCTAGAAAAGCAGCTTTCACATTGTAGGTGTCCAATAAATATGTGTCAAAAGCACAAAGAATAAAATGTGATGTTCAGCTATATTATCCAATATTAAATACCTCAGCAAATATGTATAAGTTTGTTTTGGTGCATTAATAGGCATCTCCTTATCTTTCTGGAATGATTTTGATGGTAACAAATGGTTTCTTATTGGTGGAATGTTTCCAAAGTAAAGTTCTGAGATAGTTTCTGACTCTATAATGACAAATTTTAATATTTTAATTGGAGACTAAAGCTATTTGACTCTAAGAACTCTGGCTTTTGTGTAGGTGTCAAGAGAGCAAAGGTTTCTTCAATTCCATTGTGCTTACACTCTTATATGCTGAAAAGGAAGCTTTTAGCTCAGAAATTTTTATAATTAGTATCAGAATAAATGTATACCTAGAGAGACCTTTCCAGACTGTCCTACATAAAATAGTATTCCACCCCCATTCAGGGTACTTATCATATTACTCGTTCCAATGTCTATAGATTAAGACTCTCTGAAATTAAATATTTTATTCGTTTGTTTAATACATTCATTTTCTGTATTATTTTTCTCTAAACAAAATTGTTATGAACTCAGGGACCACGACTGTGATGTTTATTTCAGAATCTTCATGCCTTCTAGCTTGCTTAAGAAGACATAGAAGTTGCCATTGATGTTTATTTAATGAACGAGTGGGTGGATCCTTGATTGTTCCCTGTATGATGTAAGTTAAAAAAAGCAAAATTCGCTTTTAGCAGTTAACACATGTTCTAAACTCTCAGAAAGTTATATTAAAAACAAAAGCAGAGCGTTTAAATGGGAAAAAACTCACTATGCGTCTCTTAGAATGGCAAAAATCCAGAACATTGACAACACCAAATGCTGGCAAGGATGTGGAGCAACAGGAACTCTCATTCATTGCTGGTGAGAATGCAAAATGGCATAACCACTTTGGAAGACATTTTGATGGTATCTTATGAAACTGACATTCTTATCATATGATCCAGCAATTATGTTCTTTAGTATTTACTCAAAGGAGTTATGTCCACACAAAAATTTCACACAGATGTAAATAACAGATTTATTTATAATTGCCAGAACATGGAAGCAACCAAGATGACCCATTGTAGCTGAATGGGTAAATAAACTGTGGTACATACAGACAATGGAATATTATTTAACACTAGAAAGAAATGAGTTATCAAGTCATGAAAATACATAGAGAAATGTTAAACACATATTACTAAGTGAAAGAAGCCTGTCTAGAAAGTCTACAGTATGATTCCAAATGCATGACATTCTGGAAAAGGGAAAACGGTGGAGACAAGAAAAAGTTCAGTCTTTATCAGGGATTAGGAGGGATGAAAGGATAAATCAGTAGATCACAGAGAAGTTTTAACACCGTAAAACCATTCTTCATGATAATATAATGGTAGATACATATTATACAATTGTCTAAACCCATAGAATGAACAACATCAGAAGTGAACCCTAATGGAAATTATAGTATTCGTGTAATAATGATGTGTTCATGTAGGTTCATCAATTGTAATAAATGTATCAATCTGGTGGAGGCTGTTGATAATGGGAGAGCCTATGTATGTGAGGTATGGGGGTGGGAATATGGGAACTGTCTGTACTTTCTGCTCAATTTTGCTGTCAACCTAAAACTTCTGAAAAAAAAATAGTCAATTTTTCCCCCAAGAATGCAGACTGGGGGCAATGTTAGCATGCCTCTCCTATTTGGAAACACAAAACAATGTGTAGAAATACACATGGTGAACTTTTTCCAAGATGCAATGCAAGAACTTAACGGGAAAACTGAAAGAAACCACAGACCTTTTGAAAGAAGCAGCAGGTTGCAGCCTACACCGTGAGCCAGGGGAAAAAAGGTAAGTCCCCAGAGTATAAGAAGGGGGAGAACTGCCTCTGGGAAATACACTTCCACCAGAGAACCCAGCAATCCACACCATGGAGGGAAGGCCTTAACACTTCCCAGCACTGAAGCTGATTTAGGGAGTGGTGGGGAATATATAAAAAGGAGCAGCAGTGGGGAGTGCTTTGCATGCAATCCCTGTCTCCAGCATGAATGGAGAAAAGCCATTCCTGATTCAACCTTGCTGGAATCTTGTGGAAGCCTGCCAGCTAATTCAGGCAGCGGTTGTTGGTTGCAAGAAGCTCCCAACTAAGATTTGTAATATAGTCTCCACTGAGGACAAACTCCCTTGGGCAGAACCAGTGGATGTGTGGGAAGTGTGCTGGAGCTACAAGTGCAGGATCTGGGCACCCCAGCTTCATGGGTAGACTGGGAGGGGCATGGCCTGAAAGCTGCCATTCCTGTCTCCACTGGGAAGGTGTGGCCTGGGGCAGCTTTGAGTTCTGAGCACAGACTGCCTGGAACTTAGCTAGCGTGAGACCCCCCTTGCCAACTGAGTGAGAGCTGGGTGGGAGATATGGGTTTAGATCTGTGTCCTCACCCAAATCTCATGTTCAATTGTAATCTCCAATGTGAAGGTGGGGCCTGGTGGGAGGTGAATGGCTCATGGGGATGAATTTCTCATGAATGTTTTAGTAGCATCCTCTTGGTACTGTCCTCACAACAATGGAGTGAGTTCTCCTAAGAGCTGACTGTTTAAAAGTGAATAGCAGTAGCACTTCCCCCACTGTCCCCCATGCCCCGCCTTGCTCTTGCAGTGTAAGATGTGCCTGCTCCTCATTTGCCTTCCTCCATGATTGTAAGTTTCCTGAGGCCTCCCGAGAAGCCAAGCAGATGTTAACAACATGCTTCCTATACAGCTCTCAAAATCATAAGCCAGTTAAACCTCTTTTCTTTATAAATTATCTAGTCTCAGGTACTTCTTTATAGCAATGTGAGAACAGACTAACACAGTGGGCTTACTGCTGCCTGTCACCCCTCACTATTCCTGAGAACTCTTCTGTACAGTACAGGAAGCACTCCTCCATGGAACACTACCCCAGTGGCAAGAGAACTGCCCTCAGATCCTCAATGGGGTTTGTCCCATATGTGGAGAGCTAGAGTACAGACTGGCCTGACCCAGCCCCAACCTGGCTTTGCTCCTTTATCCACCCTGGTAGCTTAACACAAAGGGCAGAAACTTTTGGGAGCTCTATGGTCCCATCCATTGCCAGAGACACGAGACTACCTCCCCAGGGTAACATAAGGCAAGCACAAATCCCACCCCTACCACTGCAGCTGGTATTCTTTTGCAAGTACCACCTCCTGGCTTGTGGCCAACTGACACAATGCGTTACAGCAGCTCTAGGTAGAATAAAACAGTGGGCACTGTGACCTTAATTATTGTGAGTGACCTTAACTATTAACATTGCCTGCAGCACCCTGGCTAAACAGGAGTTCCTTAGTCTGTCCACGTGACCACTTCATTACTATCACAACCAGCATTTGAGAAAGCCAACAAATTAAGATTATTTATAACCAGTGAATATAAAGAGTCTGTCTCTCCTCTGTCACCCTCATCAGAGTTAGTGCTGTTACCCGCTGCTGGGAGACTTGAGGACAGATCACATCACTGGGTCTCTTGCAGACATTCTGTAGCACCGGCCTGGGGTCTGGCAGCCCCACTGGGTGGCTAGACCTAGAGGGACAGCAGCATTTACAGTAGTCTGACTCTCAGGAACTCCTATTCCTAGGGAAACAGGGAGTGCACCACATCAAGGGAGTACCCCATGAGACAAAAGAATTCAGACAGCAGGACTTGAGTCTCAGAAATTTCTGCATGTGGAAAGTTTCCTTCAGCACAGGCACAGGTGAAGTGCTGGGCTCAGCAGGGAGAGTCTGTGGCTCTACGCCAATAGTCAGGCAGCCCTGGTCCTCATGAAGGGTCTTGGAGAAGGACATTTCTTTTCTTCCTCATCCACCACTGCAAAAACAGCTAGAGCTTATCCATTGGAGCTTAGAGTGGGTGCACCTGTACATAGCCTTTTTGGAACATTTCAGGGTCACTGTGTCCCCACAGGATGAGTGTCCTCCAGGTTCAGGCTTGCACAAGGAGCAGAGTCACAATCCCTCTCTATATGGAACATCAACATGAAAAAAGGTGTCTGATGAAAAAAGGTGTCTGTGTGATATGAAAAAAGGTGTCTGTATGATATGAAAAGCCAGAACACTGGGTCAGTCAGGAGTGTGACTGGAAGGTGGATTGTTTTCCTGCTGGCCTAATAGGGGAGCTGAGGTGGCTCCCACCATTCCCCCGATAAGATCTCAGTGTTTTACTAGAACTGCTTCAACTACCTCTGTCAAGCTAAGCTATGGGTGCACAGAGTGATATAATAGACTTTGGAGACTCAGAGCAGGGAGAGGAAGGGGGGTTTGGGACAAAAACCTACATATTGGCTACAGTATACACTACTCAAGTAACTGGGGCACTGAAATCTCAGATTTCACCACTGTACAATTCATCCATGTAACCAAAAATGAGTAGTACCTCAAAAGCTATTTAAATAAAAATATATTAATTTTTAAAAATTTATTACAAATTTCTATTAAAAAGAAAAGGAACTCAGATAAATACATTACAGTAGTCATGGTTTTTAAGACATCCAATTAATATAAAACCTTGTCACTACAGGTTATCAAAAAAAGATTAATTTCAGTGGTTAATGCTGAATGTCAACTTGATTGGATTGAAGGATACAAAGAATTGATCCTGGGTGTGTCTGTGATGGTGTTGCCAAAGGAGATTAACATTTGAGTCAGTGGGCTGAGGAAGGCAGATCCACCCTTAAACTGGGTGGGCACAATCTAATCAGCTGTCAGTGTGGCTAGAATATAAGCAGGCAGAAAAATATGAAAAGAGAGACTGGCCTAGCCTCCTAGCCTACATATTTCTATGCTGGATGCTTCCTGCCCTCGAACATTGGACATTGGACTCCAAGTTCTTCAGTTTTGGAACTGTGTCTGGCTCTCCTTGCTCCTCAGACTGCAGATGGCCTATTGTGGGACCTTGTGATCATGCAGTTAATACTTAATAAATTTTCATATATATATATATACATACATATACACACAGTTCTGTCCCTCTAGATAACCCTAATACATTTATATATAATATATATATTCTTTAGGTTAACAGTAATTATTTTATATCATTTTCACTATAATTCATGCTCATTATTAAAAGCATTTAAGCCAGAGTTTAAGTGGATAATATAGGGGCAAATTACAATAGCACCACCACCCCCCATATCAAAGATAGTCACTTTTAATATTTTGATATTTTTCTTTCTGACCTTATTATTAAAAAAGTCTTATTATTGTTATTTATTTGTACCCTTTACAATTATGGCATGCATACTGTTTTCTTCCTGGACTTTCTCTTTATATAATAAGTAGAATGAACATATAGTCTTTCCTTTAAAATAAAAGGAAAACTAAAAGTACTTAGTAGGTTTCAATTGGTTTGCAAAAGGCTATACTGGAACTGCCCTGAGTAAATCAAGATGTATGCTCAATCTAATACATATTATTTTTCACAACATTAGATAATTATGTAATACAATTGTCCTTGTCAATAGCTACATATAATTTTGAACTGATAGGTGATTGTATACTTCATATATTTTTGGCATTCCACTTGTTTATCAGCAGAGATTTTATTGCTTAAAATATGATCTACTTTTAGGGTTTATTATCTAAAAGTGATTCCCAGAAGTATAATTAATATGTCAAAGCTTAACAGATATGTTTAGAGTAGTTAATGCATTTTGCTAAATACACTACCAAGGATGTAAAGTTGCTGTGTTTATATTTTCCTATTTTAAAATATTTTTATTTTAACATTAAGAGTCAACTATGAAATAGCAGATATGATCCAAAATACTTCTTCAACGTATTTTGATAAATACACTTACATTTTTACAATTACCTTTTTTTATTTAAAAAATTCACCTCGTAAGTACATCTTCAAAAATAAATTTGTTAATGGACAGGTGTGACATTTAAAAAAATCACTTGCAAATGTTATCTAAAATTTACATCATCTCTGACCAAGTAAAACTAAATCTGAATTAAAGTAGTTTTTGAATAAGCTCTTGAAAAACTACACTATGTTAATTAATAAGCTAAAAGTAAATTAAGAGCATCTGTGTTCTTCGTGCTTCCTGATGCTAACTTAATTCATATACTATCTTCACTTTTGGAGAGATTTCTAACAGGGTTGCACGTTTATTTTAGAAGAAGATTGAAGACCATTATAAAATGAGTATTGACTCATTTTCTCTGAAATGCTCTCCTTTGACTCCATATCTCACATCCAGGGCATGCTGATGCAAGTGGTGGGATCCCAAGGGTTTGGGCAGCTCTGCACTCATTGCTACTTTCATGGGCTGGCATTGAGTGCCTGCAGCTTTCCCAAGTGCAGCTTTCCCATGTAAGTTGTCAGTGGATCTACCATTCTGGGTTCGGGAGGATGGTGGCCCTGTTCCCACAGATCCACTAGGCAGTGCCCCACTGGGGATTATGTGTGGGTGCTCCCACCCCACATTTCCCTTCCTCACTGCCCTGGCAAAGTTTCCCCATGAGGGCTCTCTCACTTCAGCAGACTTCTGCCTGGACAGCCAGGCACTTCCAGCCATCCTCTGAAATTCAGACAGAGGTACCCAAACCTCAATTATTGACTTCTGTGCACCCACAGACCCAATGCCATGTGTAAGCCACCAAGGGTTGGGGCTTGGACCATCTGAATCAATGGCCTGAGTTGTGTGTTGTCCCCTTTTAGCCACAGCTGGAGCAGCTGGGATGCAGGATGCCAAGTCCAGAGGCTGCACAGAGCAGAAGAGTCCTAGGTCTGGCCCAGGAAACTACTTTTTCCTCCTAGGCCTTCAGACCTGTGATGTGAGGGGCTGCTTTGAAGATCATTGACATGCCCTGGAGACATTTTCCCTGTTGTCTTGGCTATTAACATTCAGCTCCTTGTTACTTCTGCAAATTTATGCAGCTGGCTTGAATTTCTCCCCAGAAAGTGAGTTTTTCTTTTTGACTGCATCTTCAGGCTGCAAATTTTCCAAATTTATATGTCCTGTCACCTACTGAATGCTTTGCTGCTTAGAAATTTCTTTCACCAAACAACCTAAATCATCTCTCTCAAGTTCAGTGTTCCACAGATCTCAAGGGCAGGGGCAAAATACCACCAGTCTCTTTGCTAAAGCATAGCAAAAGTGACTTTTGCTCCAGTTCCCAATAAGTTCTTCATCTCCATCTGGAACCACATCATCCTGGACTCTAATTGTCCCACATTACTATCAGCATTTTGGTCAAAACCATTCAACAAGTCTTTAGCAAGTTGCAAAGTTTTCCACATCTTCCTGTCTTCTTCTGAGTCCTCCAAACTGTTTCAGCTTCTCCCCATTACCCAGTTCCAAAGTTACATCCCCATTTTCAGGTTATACTTATAGCAGGACTTCATTCTACTGGCACCAATTTAATGTATTAGTCTGTTTTCACACTGCTATAAGAAATACCCAAGATTTGGGTAATTTATAAACAAAAGAGGTTTAATTGACTCACAATTCTGCATGGCTGAGGAGGCCTTAGGAAACTTATAGTCATGGTGGAAGGTGAAGGGGAAGCAAGGCACATCTTACATGGCAGCAGGAGAGAGAGAAAAGAGCACAATAGGGGAAGTGCCAAACACTTCACACTTTTAAAACCATCAGATCTCATGAGAACTCACTCACTATCATGAGAAGAGCATGGGGGAAACCACCCCCATGATTCAATCACCTCCCACCAGGTCCCTTCCTTCATATGTGGGGATTACAATTGGAGATGAGATTTGGGTGGGGACACAGAGCCAAACCATATCAGTTAGTTTGGCTCAAATCCAGGAATGATTAAGCACAGTTTGGAGGTTAAAGGCACGCTGAGTGTTGGTTAAATCAGATCTCTATCACTGTCATAATTTTCTCACTGTTATAACTCCTGCAAAGGCAGTTTCAATCTCATCTTGTGTTCTCAACCTTATCTTGTGTTCTCAATCTTACCTTGTGTTCTCAAGGTCCCTGATGCTTCTTGTGTGTCAGATCTATCAGTAAGTGTCTAATATACATTTATCTTATTAAATATACAGGACAAATATATGCAGTCAAAATACTATTAATATTTTCAGTTTCCTAATAAGACCATTTGCATAATGGGGTTGATTAATTTGCCATACATCTTAGAATAAGTAATGGAAGCAAATCTGTATTGGTCCACAGCATATGCTCTTGACCTCCTCCTATGTAGATGCTTTTGTAGGTCTAAGTCCCACATTAACCTCAGCATAATGGTCTATGCAGTAGTGACTTAATAAATGTCTGATGTTCTCATAAAAACAAGCAATACTATTTTGTTTATTCAACAAAAATTTATTCAAACATTTAGCAAGCCTCTGTGCCAGGCACAGTCTATAATACCATCACTTCATCCCTGTGTGTATGCATATAGCAGTTTTTGAATAGCATTAGTCTAGCAGCGGAGAAAGGATGTAGGCAAATGTAAGAAATCAATGTTGTAAGAGAGTTTATTGTTTAAGACATTCAATGTGGTCACAGTGAGGAGGTTCATAACTCTGCCTAGGGGGTAGGGTGGAATCAGAATATATTTCAAAGAAGAATCGATGATGAAATGGCTCCTGAAGGTAAATAAAGATTGACAAGAAAAAGATGATGTGGTCAATGGGCGAAGCAGCAGCAAGCCAGACAAAGGGAAATGCAGATACAAAGGCAAAAAGTGTGTTTGATAGAGCACAGCACATTTGGAGAAATTAAGAAATTGCACTGACTATTTAAATTATCTTTAAACATCTTTTAAAACCTTACCTGATACAGATGTACTTCAGGATTCTGGAATTTCTGAAAGGGAGAAAAATATTTTTTGAATGCAGTAATCACCTGGATGTAAGGAAAGGAAACACTTGAGAGAGGCTTAAAAAGCTTCCAAAAGCTGCTCCAGATCTAGTGACAGACGGTTGTGAATATGTAGGAGGCCTGATATTCTTCCTTTTTGTACTGGGTTGGCAAATTTAAACCATACTTTTAGAGGTAGGATTGTCTCAAAGGAGGGGGCATGGGGCCCTTTGATGAGTCAACATGAAATGTGTCTTAATTTCGGGGAACTGTGTGGAAAGTTATTGGAAAGGTGAGCATTATATTTTAAAGTAATTGCCCCAAAGTGCTCAATTACATGTTTCTTAGTAACAACATCTGTTAGTAGGAAAATAAAGATCAAGTTCTCAGTCTCTCTAATGTACCCTTAAGTGATGAATAAACAGATTAAGGCATTTTATGAAATACATCTTGCATTTGGTGGTGACATTTTGCTGCACAGGATTAGTAAAACAAGACTGAAACAAAGATATGAGCTTTCCAACTTCTATTATTTCATAACATTTTCTTATAGTTCAACAGGACTTTGGTAGAAAGAGCCTTGGAGTCAGAGGGGTTGGATGCATGGATGAGTTATTCAATACTCTTGTATCTGTTTCCTCAATTATAAGACAAGAATAATAAAACTACCCCTCTCTGATGGGTTTGAGGGGATTAAATGAATTCGTTATATAATTCATATACCTATGAATAGAAAGTACCTATCCTAAAGCTCCATAATGGTGGTCGTTTAACAAATGCTTGCTTTCTTTCTTCTATTTCCTATTGATCTGGTTTCAAGGTAAGTGAAATGTAACTCCCACCATAAATGTAAATTATCCAGTCATGTCCTGTAGGCACAGAAAATACATTGACGACTTAAGTTTGTTTTCTCTTTTGTGAGATGGGCTTAAGATTTTAAGAAATTTCAAGAAAGAAATATTTGCCTAATTGGCCTCTGGGAAGTTCTGGATAAGAAATGAGGAGGTGCTCATGTTTTGATTATGTAGATATCAATATGAGGAAAGGTCTATGATAACAATGAGTCCCAGATGCAGTAGGCATTGTATGAGTCCACCTAGCATTAACCAGTAGGAGGAAAGAATTCACTGGTGACATATGAAAGGAAAACAAAGGAGGTAAGAAAGTCCCCAGGAGATGAAAGTGCCCTGTCTGCTTTGAAATCCATCACACTCTCAACTGACTTGACTTAGACATCACACTTTTAGCCAAATGTATTTTTTTTTTAATTTTGAATGGGCAGCAAATATATCTTCATGGTACAAAATTCACAAAGCACAAAAGGTTATGGAGGAAAAAGCTTGCTTCCCACCTCTATACTTCAGATAACCAGTTTCCCTACCTAGGGGGAACTTCTGTCATCGATTTATGGAGTATCCTTTAGAGAAAATTAAACACCTGAAATAATGGAAGATGGCCGAATAGGAACAGCTCTGGTCTACAGCTCCCAGCGTGAGTAACGCAGAAGATGGGTGATTTCTGCATTTCCATCTGAGATACCAGGTTCATCTCACTAGGGAGTGCTAGACAGTGGGTGCAGGACAGTGGGTGCAGCCACCGTGCACGAGCCGAAGCAGGGCGAGGCATTGCCTCACTCGGGAAGAACAAGGGGTCAGGGAGTTCCCTTTCCTAGTCAAAGAAAGGGGTGACAGACGGCACCTGGAAAATCGGGTCACTCCCACCCGAATACTGCGCTTTTCCGAGGGGCTTAAAAAACGGCGCACCAGGAGATCATATCCCGCACCTGGCTCGGAGGGTCCTACGCCCACGGAGTCTCACTAATTGCTAGCACAGCAGTCTGAGATCAAACTGCAAGGCGGCAGCGAGGCTGGGGGAAGGGCGCCTGCCATTGCCCAGGCTTGCTGAGGTAAACAAAGCAGCCAGGAAACTCCAACTGGGTGGAGCCCACCACAGCTCAAGGAGGCCTGCCTGCCTCTGTAGGCTCCACCTCTGGGGGCAGGGCACAGAAAAACAAAAAGACAGCAGTAACCTCTGCAGACTTAAATGTCCCTGTCTGATAGCTTTGAAGAGAGCAGTGGTTCTCCCAGCTCACAGCTGGAGATCTGAGAACGGGCAGACTGCCTCCTCAAGTGGGTCCCCGAACCCTGACCCCCGAGCAGACTAACTGGGAGGCACCCCCCAGTAGGGGCAGACTGACATTTCACATGGCCGGGTACTCCTCTGAGACAAAACTTCCAGAGGAACGATCAGACAGCAGCATTCGCGGTTCACAAAAATCTGCTGTTATGCAGACACCACTGCTGATACCCAGGCAAACAGGGTCTGGAGTGGACCTCTAGCAAACTCCAACAGACCTGCAGCTGAGGGTCCTGTCTGTTAGAAGGAAAACTAACAAACAGAAAGGACATCCACACCAAAAACCCATCTGTACATCACCATCATCAAAGAGCAAAAGTAGATAAAACCACAAAGATGGGGAAAAAACAGAGCAGAAAAACTGGAAACTCTAAAAACCAGAGCGCCTCTCTTCCTCCAAAGGAACGCAGCTCCTCACCAGCAATGGAACAAAATGGAACAAAGCTGGATGCAGAATGACTTTGACGAGTTGAGAGAAGAAGCTTCAGATGATCAAACTACTCCGAGCTACAGGAGGAAATTCAAACCAAAGGCAAAAAAGTTGAAAACTTTGAAAAAAATTTAGAAGAATGTATAACTAGAATAACCAATACAGAGAAGTGCTTAAAGGAGCTGAAAGCCAAGGCTCGAGAACTACGTGAAGAATGCAGAAGCCTCAGGAGCCAATGCGATCAACTGGAAGAAAGGGTATCAGTGATGGAAGATGAAATGAATGAAATGAAGCGAGAAGGGAAGTTTAGAGAAAAAAGAATAAAAAGAAACGAACAAGCCTCCAAGAAATATGGGACTATGTGAAAAGACCAAATCTACGTCTGATTGGTGTACCTGAAAGTGATGGGGAGAATGGAACCAAGTTGGAAAACACTCTGCAGGATATTATCCAGGAGAACTTCCCCCATCTAGCAAGGCAGGCCAACATTCAGATTCAGGAAATACAGAGAACGCCACAAAGATACTCCTCGAGAAGAGCAACTCCAAGACACATAATTGTTAGATTCACCAAAGTTGAAATGAAGGAAAAAATGTTAAGGGCAGCCAGAGAGAAAGGTTGGGTTACCCTCAAAGGGAAGCCCATCAGACTAACAGCGGATCTCTCAGCAGAAACTCTACAAGCCAGAAGAGAGTGGGGGCCAATATTCAACATTCTTAAAGAAAAGAATTTTCAACCCAGAATTTCATATCTGGCCAAACTAAGCTTCATAAGTGAGGGAGAAATAAAATACTTTACAGACAAGCAAATGCTGAGAGATTTTGTCACCACAAGGCCTGCCCTAAAAGAGCTCCTGAAGGAAGCGCTAAACATGGAAAGGAACAACCGGTACCAGCCGCTGCAAAATCATGCCAAAATGTAAAGACCATTGAGACTAGGAAGAAACTGCATCAACTATCGAGCAAAATAACCAGCTAACATCATAATGACGGGATCAAATTCACACATAACAATATTAACTTTCAATGTAAATGGACTGAATGCTCCAATTAAAAGACACAGACTGGCAAATTGGATAAAGAGTCAAGACCCATCAGTGTGCTGTATTCAGGAAACCCATCTCACGTGCAGAGACACACATAGGCTCAAAATAAAAGGATGGAGGAAGATCTACCAAGCAAATGGAAAACAAAAAAAGGCAGGGATTGCAATCCTAGCCTCTGATAAAACAGACTTTAAACCAACAAAGATCAAAAGAGACAAAGAAGGCCATTACATAATGGTAAAGGGATCAATTCAACAAGAAGAGCTAACTATCCTAAATATATATGCACCCAATACAGGAGCACCCAGATTCATAAAGCAAGTCCTGAGTGACCTACAAAGAGACTTAGACTCCCACACATTAATAATGGGGACTTTAACACCCCACTGTCAACATTAGACAGATCAACGAGACACAAAGTCAACAAGGATACCCAGGAATTGAACTCAGCTCTGCACCAAGCAGACCTAATAGACATCTACAGAACTCTCCACCCCAAATCAACAGAATATACATTTTTTCAGCACCACACCACACCTATTCCAAAATTGACCACATACTTGGAAGTAAAGCTCTCCTCAGCAAATGTAAAAGAACAGAAATTATAACAAACTGTCTCTCAGACCACAGTGCAATCAAACTAGAACTCAGGGTTAAGAAACTCACTCAAAACCGCTCAACTACATGGAAACTGAACAACCTGCTCCTGAATGACTACTAGGTACATAATGAAATGAAGGCAGAAATAAAGATGTTCTTTGAAACCAACGAGAAAAAAGACACAACATACCAGAATCTCTGGGACACATTCAAAGCATTGTGTAGAGGGAAATTTATAGCACTAAATGCCCACAAGAGAAAGCAGGAAAGATCCAAAATTGACACCCTAACATCACAATTAAAAGAACTAGAAAAGCAAGAGCCAACACATTCAAAAGCTAGCAGAAGGCAAGAAATAACTAAAATCAGAGCAGAACTGAAGGAAATAGAGACACAAAAAACCCTTCAAAAAATTAATGAATCCAGGAGCTGGTTTTTTGAAAGGATCAACAAAATTGATAGACCACTAGCAAGACTAATAAAGAAAAAAAGAGAGAAGAATCAAATAGATGCAATAAAAAATGATAAAGCGGATATCACCACGGATCCCACAGAAATATAAACTACTATCAGAGAATACTGCAAACACCTCTACGCAAATAAACTAGAAAATCTAGAAGAAATGGATAAATTCCTCAACACATACACTCTCCCAAGACTAAACCAGGAAGAAGTTGAATCTCTGAATAGACCAATAACAGGATCTGAAATTGTGGCAATAATCAATAGCTTACCAACCAAAAAGAGTCCAGGACCAGATGGATTCAGAGCCGAATTCTACCAGAGGTACAAGGAGGAACTGGTACCATTCCTTCTGAAACTATTCCAATCAATAGAAAAAGAGGGAATCTTCCCTAACTCATTTTATGAGGCCAGCATCATCCTGATACCAAAGCCGGGCAGAGACACAACAAAAAAAGAGCATTTTAGACCAATATCCTTCCTTGATGAACATTGATGCAAAAATTCTCAATAAAATACACATCAAAAAGCTTATCCAGCAAAATCAACTGGGCTTCATCCCTGGGATGCAAGGCTGGTTCAATATACGTAAATCAATAAATGTAATCCAGCATATATCAGAACCAAGGACAAAAAACACATGATTATCTCAATAGATGCAGAGAAGGCCTTTGACAAAATTCAACAATTCTTCATGCTAAAAACTCTCAATACATTAGGTATTGATGGGACGTATCTCAAAATAATAAGAGCTATCTATGACACACCCACAGCCAATATCATACTGAATGGGCAAAAACTGGAAGCATTCCCTTTGAAAACTGGCACAAGACAGGGATGCCCTCTCTCACCACTCCTATTCAACATAGTGTTTTAAGTTCTGGCCAGGGAAATTAGGCAGGAGAAGGAAATAAAGGGTATTCAATTAGGAAAAGAGCAAGTCAAATTGTCCCTGTTTGCAGATGACATGATTGTATATCTAGAAAACCCCATTGTCTCAGCCCAAAATCTCCTTAAGCTGATAAGCAACTTTGGCAAAGTCTCAGGATACAAAATCAATGTACAAAAATCACAAGCATTCTTATACACCAATAACAGACAAACAGAGAGCCAAATCATGAGTGAACTCCCATTCACAATTGCTTCAAAGAGAATAAAATACCTAGGAATCCAACTTACAAGGGATGTGAAGGACCTCTTCAAGGAGAACTACAAACCACTGCTCAATGAAATAAAAGAGGATACAAACAAATGGAAGAACATTCCATGCTCATGGGTAGGAAGAATCAATATCGTGAAAATGGCCATACTGCCCAAGGTAATTTATAGATTCAATGCCATCCCCATCAACCTACCAATGACTTTCTTCACAGAATTGGAAAAAACGACTTTAAAGTTCATATGGAACCAAAAAAGAGCCCACATCACCAAGTCAATCCTAAGCCAAAAGAACAAAGCTGGAGGCATCACCCTACCTGACTTCAAACTATACTACAAGGCTACAGTAACCAAAACAGGATGGTACTGGTACCAAAACAGAGATATAGATCAATGGAACGGAACAGAGCCCTCTGAAATAATGCCGCATATCTACAACTATCTGATCTTTGACAAACCTGAGAAAAACAAGCAATGGGGAAAGGATTCCCTATTTAATAAATGGTGCTGGGAAAACTGGCTAGCCATATGTAGAAAGCTGAAACTGGATCCCTTCCTTACACCTTATACAAAAATTAATTCAAGATGGATTAAAGACTTAAATGTTAGACCTAAAACCATAAAAACCCTAGAAGAAAACCTAGGCAATACCATTCAGGACATAGGCATGGGCAAGGACTTCATGTCTAAAACACCAAAAGCAATGGCAACAAAAGCCAAAATTGACAAATGGGATCTAATTAAACTAAGGAGCTTCTGCACAGCAGAAGAAATTACCATCAGAGTGAACCGGCAACCTACAAAATGGGAGAAAATTTTTGCCACCTACTCATCTGACAAAGGGCTAATATCCAGAATCTACAATGAACTCAAACAAATTTACAAGAAAAAAACAACCCCATCAAAAAGTGGGCAAAGGACATGAACAGACACTTCTCAAAAGAAGACATTTATGCGGCCAAAAAACACATGAAAAAATGCTCACCATCACTGGCCATCAGAGAAATGCAAATCAAAACCACAATGAGATACCATCTCACACCAGTTGGAATGGCAGTCATTAAAAAGTCAGGAAACAACAGGTGCTGGAGAGGATGTGGAGAAATAGGAACACTTTTACACTGTTGGTGGGACTGTAAACTAGTTCAACCATTGTGGACGTCAGTGTGGCAATTCCTCAGGGATCTAGAACTAGAAATACCATTTGACCCAGCCATCCCATTACTGGGTATATACCCAAAGGATTATAAATCATGCTGCTATAATGACACATGGACACATATGTTTATTGCGGCACTATTCACAATAGCAAAGACTTGGAACCAATCCGAATGTCCAACAATGATAGACTGGATTAAGAAAATGTGGCACATATACACCATGGAATACTATCCAGCCATAAAAAATGATGAGTTCATGTCCTTTGTAGGGACATGGATGAAATTGGAAATCATCATTCTCAGTAAACTATTGCAGGGACAAAAAACCAAACACCGCATGTTCTCACTCATAGGTGGGAATTGAACAATGGCAACACATGGACACAGGAAGGGGAACATCACAGTCTGGGGATTGTTGTGGGGTGGGGGGAGGGGCGAGGGATGGCATTAGGAGATATAGCTAATGCTAAATGACGAGTTTGATGGGTGCAGCACACCAGCATGGCACATATATACATATGTAACTAACCTGCACATTGTGCACATGTACCCTAAAACTTAAAGTATAATAATAAAAAAAAATTAATTAAATAATCAATATAGATACATGGAGAATACAAATTAGCAAAAATAAATCAAGCCAACCCATTTTTTCCCGCTCAGACAAAAAAAAAAAAAAAAAATTAAACACCTACAAGCAAGCATAGTTTTCATTCTTTTTATATAAATGGTAGTGTATTAGGCACACTCTTTTGGACCTTGCATTTTTCATCGAAAAATATAACTTGGAAATTAATTTACATTGATACTGAAATTACTTTCACGTTTTTAACTGAGAGGAAGTTAACTTTTTTTTTTTTTTTTTTTGAGACGGAGTCTCACTTTGTCGCCCAGGCTGGAGTGCAGTGGCGCGCGACCTCGGCTCACTGCAAGCTCCGCCTCCAGAGGAAGTTAACTTTTAACTGAAGAATATAGACCCTGGTATCCATGACACCACAAGAGCATTTCCTGATTTGGGTTTCAGTAGTATGGCATAACTGGAATCCTCACAGAGTGTGCCTTCACGTTGCCATAAATACACATTTATCATTACGTTATTTATTGGTTCGTTCTACTCAAGGAGAACTAATAGGAAAAGAAGTAGAAGTATCAGGGTATCAGTTTGGCTGAAAACAATGTTTGCTTATACATATTATGGTGCCACCAAGAGCAACAATAAAATTCCCTGATATAATGTACTCAAAAATTTGTAGAACTTTTTGTGAGCCAGCAGAGAAAAGGAAAATCTCCCCTCACAGAAAAGAAAGACACTGCCAGATGCTGATTGCTTCCACCGTTCACAGGATCATGAAGACGCCAGATCCTGCTGGCTTGCATTCTCAGAGGAGGGAATACCAGGTGGAATTGTGGCCATGCGGCATTGTCATGAAGAATATGAGATTTGCAGCTGTCATGGCAAGGAAACCCTGGAGCTTCAGAGATTTTAGATTTTATTAGATTTTACTGAATGTTTAAGGAACCATTCTTCAAGTAGAATGATGAATACAGGCAGATTCCAAAAATCTGTTAAAAAAAAAAAAAAAGAAACCTAATAGGGCACTAACACTAACATATGATTTTTTTTATTTTTATTTTTTAATAAAGATGGGATCTCGTTATGTTGCCCAGGCTGGTCTCTAAATCCTGGCCTCAAGCAACACTCTTACCACAGCCTCACACAGTACAGGGATCACCACCCTGTGGGCTGGGTGAGCCATCATGCCCAGTCCACATATGGGATATTGACATATTTAATCTAGCCAACATTCATTAAGCATCTACTCTGCACAAGATCTTGTGCTAGGTTCTGAGGATACAAAACCAAATAAAATGTATTATTGAATAAATAATAGAGAAGGATGTGATAAATTATCTAACTTAGGTTTGCACCACGTTGTGAGAGCTCAACTTCTCTAGAAGTCAACCAAAGGAAATTTCACAAAGGTGATTATTTATGAGCTTTACTCTTGAGGGATAAATGAAAGTTTTCAGACAGAGAGTCAAATTAGAAATAGAGTTAAAAAAAATCATTGCAAATTATATTATAACCAGCTGAGCACAGAGGTCCATGGGAACATAGACCACTGGTCTTTTCAAACTAATCTTAAATAAGAAGTGAGGGTAAGGGAGGAATTCTGGTAGAGGTGATACTCGAGCTTAGCAGGTGTTTAAGCAGAAAAATAAAGTGGCTTCTAGAAAGAGAATGCAAAAGGCAAAAATGGGGTCTTATCTGATTTATTTTTATTACATTCCCATCTCACAGCACACTGAGCTGATCCATGGCTGTATAAAAAATAGATTCATACGGGGACACACACACACACACACACACACACACACACACAAAGGATGTTCTTGATTATTTTTAATGGGTATGAGAAACGCTAAATGCACTTAAGAAAGAAAACTTATTATAAGCAAAAAAAAAGGAATATTTGGTCAGATCCTAGGAAAGACACTAGGTGAGGACTGAGGAAGGGACAAATAGGGCATTTGGAGCTTCCTTTAGTTGTTAGAATATAAATAAGGTACATGTTTAGAGTGCTTGTGTTATTCAACAGACATTTATTGTGTACCCCTAGAATATAAACTCCATAAAAGCAGTGATCTTCTGTACTTCATGCACTGCTCCATCCTCAATGTTTAGATGTATGAATCCAGGCACTTTTTCTCAACGTATCAATAACTTTGCTGAATAATAAGTGTACACAGTGGGACAGGGTAGGCATAAGGTACTGTGGGAGGAAACAAAGATGACTCTCATTTTCTGTCTTCAACCAGCGTTTGATCTGGTGGAAGAATTTACAATCAAGATGATACTTTCTATTTTACCCTTGCTTTATCTATCATTTCTAGAGCAATAAAAATAATAACAAGTATGTTTTTAAAAGGAGTCTATTTAGAGCTCTAGTACACATCAGGTTGCAGTTTTCCATCTGTCAACTGCAGAAACAAATCCTCTAAAATATAGTGAAATAAAGAAATGTGATGGATAAAAGAAGTGGAAAACATTGGCGAAAACAGTACTTTTTTGTCACAAAATGTCAGTGATCACAAACTCAGAGGAAATTAATGGAGAAGGTCTACGTTATTTTTTCTTAAAAAATTGAAGTCAGAATAAGCCACACATTGCTTACAAGGAATTTCAAAGTAAAAAGTAGGCCTGGCAGCCAGAGTTTGCCCACTGCTCCAAGTGCTGTTACAGTTTACTCTTCCCTATAGCTGGTATGCATGTTTCAGCTCATTTCTCACCATTATAAATAATTCATTAGACACTATATGTAATTCACAGCCTTCCTTGAACATTGGAAGCCACAGACATGCCTATGCACTGTGGTTCCAGCTACTTGTGAGTGTAGATTTTAGGTGCCAAGGATGTGGTTCAGTAAATTATTAGAAGCATATTAATTAGCTGTTCTTCATTAGGCAGTATTGCAAGAAAGATTAGTTACAAAATGTTAACTGGTAGAAGATCTGATTTATTGCCTATCGTATTAAGTAAAACCAAACAAAATTTGGTACAAGTTCATAATCTGTTGCATTAATTAATTCTGGCATTCACTAATGAATTCTAATATTAATAAATTAATGGATGCAGTGAGCATAAAAAATATTGGATAATGAAGAGATATGTATATAGTTAACTTTTTGTCTTGTCCATAGAATTTAGAGCTGGAACAAACATTAGCTGTCATTTTGTCTAATCAGATCTAAGAATGACAGAGATGAGGCCCAGAGATGAGATGAAAAGTAACTTGCCCAAGGTTACATTTCTAAATACTCAGGGAAAAAAAAAATACAAACACGAAAACAAAGGGGAAAAAAAGCTGGATTCAGGTCCCCTGACATGACCTTATTTTGTTGTTGTTGTTGTTGTGATTTGATAATCCCTTGAAACAAAATAGAAAACTGCAAATGGTCAAAAATGTTAAAAGTCCACATTTCTTTTTTCTCAAAATATGTTCCCAAAACCAAGTTCATCAAAATTGCCTAGGGAGCAGGTAAAAAATGAAAAGAATTGGCTCCCATATAAAAGTTACATAGACTTAGAATACCCATGGCTGACTCCTTGAAAACTATATGATTTTTAAGTATCAAAGGTGATTTTTATGCAAGGTTGGAAACCCACAACTCTAAATAAACTTTCCCACGTTTTATATTATTATTCAGGTTGTATTCTCTCCTCTCAGCTCCATGAAAACAGAGATTTACTCTGTTTTGTTAACCGCTATAACCTAGGTACCCAGGACAAGACTTAATACCAGGCACCTAAGAAGTGTTTGTAAAATGAATGACGGAATGCCTGAGTGGATGCATGAATGAATGAACAGGTGATGAATAACAAGTGAATAAAGCAACAATTGTCAACATAGAATTTTCCAAAAGTTAAAATCATGATTCTTATACACATGGGAAATGAACACATTTCAAAGATTTTATTCAACTCATTAACTAAGGAAGGGACCAGTAAAATGCTAATGATGGTTCTCACAAAATTTAAGGAAGAAGAATTTATCTAGGCCTCCAGCAAAAACATTTAAGGAAAAAAAATAAAAGCAGAGTAGAATAAATTTGCTAAGTTAGATACAAAGCTTTCTCTTGTCCTTCAGGGCAAAACATCATAATCATTGGGTTATCTTTTCTATGAGGCAGAAATCTGTAAGTTAACATGAAACTTTACAGTGTCTGGGCTCTAATCAAATAACAAATAGCAAAGTCAAATAAAGGTACATCTCCTAGGGAATGGAACAATCTTTGGGTTAGCCTTTTAAACCACACCCACTGACTGTGAAAGATTGTGTAGTCACACCGTTTATTTCCAAGTTTCCATAGTTTTTCTTAACATCATGTTAGGCCATATGCAAAGATGCACTATAAACAGCCTATACATTATATATGGAAAGGAATTAATTATTATGAAATGAAATCTCTAAATAGTTACAACTTTAGATAAAAATGAGGCAGCAAATCAAGGTGGAGGAGTATAAATATAGGCAGATGAAATCGTAGGAGAGGACGGAATATCAGTCTAATTTCTTTGGGGTTGTATCAGCACTCCAGAGAGAGAAAGAGATGTAGAATATGATGCTATAGCCTGGGAAATGGTTCCCAGGCCTCTATTCAGATATAGTTCTACCAGACGCTCAAGGATTAAGAAACCATGTAAGTGGCCATATAGCTCTTGAGTCAATAGAACAGATTATGTGTGCCAGTTGCATGTCTATGGACTAGACATCTTATGTGTGTCAGTTTACTCTTTAGGGGAATGCTAGATACAATAGTGCATACTTTGAAGATTAGTTTTGAGGACTGAATGAGACAGAAGCAAATGAAAGAATTAATGCATATCAGTTTTCGCTTATATCACCATCCTATTCTGAAAAGCAACTGAGACTTGGTTTTGCGAAGGAGAGCCAGTTGAACAGTGCCTGAGTCTCACTCTAGTCACCAACACAGATTTAAGTAAGCTGCTTCTCAAACCAGCTGGTACAAAGAAAAGTCCAGGTTCCTACCATACCATTAGAGTGTAGCGTTGTCTGCTGAGTAGTGAGTAGCTGGTGCAGTGCACAGGTGGCAAAAATAATACAAACAACTACAATGGAGATGGTTCCTAGTTCAGAACAGAAGTTCCCAGGACCAGGCTAAAAGTGATGATTGCAGTAGTAAAGCCCCCAAAAGTCTGAATCAGGCAAAGAATGTGAGGCAATCTAAAAAAAGAAAAACAAATAGTAACCTGCTTGCAGAGAAAAAATTTATACATGGAAGAGCTTCGCTAGACATTCAGCAATCTATCAACTACAGCCAAGCTATAGAATCACTGATTGATATGGTTTATTTGTTTGCACAATTGTTGCTTGTTCGATTTCCTTTTTTATCTAATTTTGTCCCCAGGTTTTTTTTTTCCCCAAAATGATGTCCTAAGAAACATATATTGTGTGCAGTAATGATACACTGATATTTATCATCATTTGCATAATAATTAGCAGTGGGAAGAAGTATCTTGGTCTCCTGCGAATATTTTATCTTGTTAGCACTCAATATTAACTACTTGACCTTGCCTAGCTTATAAGATCAAATAGAGCAAAGGCCATCTCTTTCAGTGACCGCATTAATCCCAGGGCACACTACATCACTTGCATATGATAGACCTTAGCAATCATCTTTGGATTGTACTAATATAAATAAATGTTGAAAACTCACACTATCTACACTGTAGTGAACACACGAATGTGTACATTGTAAGATCTTCTTTACTTCTTGAGAGAAGGTCTTATTCTGTTGCCCAGGCTGGAGTGCAGTGGCGCAATCATGGCTCACTACAGCCTTGACCTCCTAGACTCAAGTGATCCTCCCACCTCAGCCTCCCGAGTAGCTGAAACTACAGGCACGTGCCACCATGTCTGGCTAATTTTTGTATATTTTGTTGAGACAGAGTTTCGCCATGTTGCCCAGTCTGGGCTAGAACTCCTGAGATCAAGCGATCCTCCCACCTCAGCCTCCCAGAGTGTTGGAATTATAGGCCACTGTACATATCCTCATAAGATCTTCTTGTCCTCACTTCTAATTTATGCTAATTGCCACTGGAGTGGGCAGTTATGTAGTCTTTTACCAGCTTCATGAAGATGTTTGCTGCCTCCTGGACATGTCTGTTGTCCCTGCAGTGAGGAATGTCGCAGGAATTCCCTTGGTGCTCACATGTGTGCAAATAAGCCAGAATGTGGTAAAGTTATAGTACCATGGAAGAAAACATCTACCAATGTGGGAAAAGAGTTCTCACCCCTGCCCACCAAAAAAAGATGGTCCTGAAATGAATTTCCCATGCCACCACACAGTACTTACAATCATTGAATTGTCTTTTACTCTTTCCAGCGATCTCTCATTTCTGGTCTATGGGATCTTACTTCCTAGCAAAGTACTCTCATAGAAGCCTCTGTCTCATGCTGTGCTGCTAGAGATATCAGACTAAGTGTAACTATTGCTGACCTAAGCATGAATTGCAATCATTGTCCCCAGGGGAAATTCTAATCCATAATACTATGGATTGTATTTGTAATGGACATTTTCCCCTACCATTAGAGCAGCATAACTCTTGAGAATCTGAAAAAGAAAGCCATAGCTAAAGTATGACAAGGTACCTCCTCACCTACCTGAAAAAGTAATTTTCCTCAGTGGAAATTCCAATCCATAACATTATGGATTTTGCTGGTAATGAATATTTTTTTCTACCATTAGAGCAGTATAACTCTTGTGAATCACAAAAAGAGAGCCATAGCTAGGTGATGAAAAGTTATCTTTTCACCTACCTAAGGAAACAATAGGCAAGCTATTCACTCTATGACAACTTCAGGGACCAAAGGAAAAAAATGAATGAGAAGGGGAAAGAGATAAGTCTTTTAAAATATTGAATACGTTTTACCCAGGGTAACTATTATTCTTTTCATTCAGCACTCACAACTGTATTGTAAAAAGACACTGAAGTCTGCACATTATAGATGAGGAAACTAAGATGTCACATGGTGACTTCTCCTCCAAACACACAGTTGGCAAAACGCAGAGTAGGACCTTGAACATGGGTTCATGGCTACAAGGACTAAGGGCTATGGTTTTTGCACTGAACTACATGGTTACCAGAGTCAGAAACAAAGTAAGTGCCATAATGTATATGTTTATTGTCTGGGAACTGGCTAAGAAAAATGAGTGAGGCTGACTCTCTTTTCGGACTCAGCCCGCCTGCACCCAGGTGAAATAAATAGCCATGTTGCTCACACAAAGCCTGTTTGGTGGTCTCTTTACACGGACGTGCGTGAAATTTGGTGCCGTGACTCAGATCGGGGGACCTCCCTTGGGAGATCAATCCCCTGTCCTCCTGCCCTTTGCTCCGTGAGAAAGATCCACCTACAACCTCAGGTCCTCAGACCCACCAGCCCAAGAAACATCTCACCAATTTCAAATCCGGTAAGTGGCCTCTTTTTACTCTCTTCTCCAACCTCCCTCACTGTCCCTCAACCTCTTTCTCCTTTCAATTGTGGCGCCACACTTCAATCTCTCCCTTCTCTTAATTTCAATTCCTTTCATTTTCTGGTAGAGACAAAGGAGACACGTTTTATCTGTGGACCCAAAACTCCGGCGCCGCTCATGGACTGGGAAGGCAGCCTTCCCTTGATGTTTAATCATTGCAGGGACACCTCTCTGATTATTCACCCATGTTTCCAAGGTGTCAGACCATGCAGGGACGCCTGCCTTAGTCCTTCACCCTTAGCGGCAAGTCCCGCTTTTCTGGGGAAGGGGCAAGTACCCCTCAACCCCTTCTTCACCCTTAGTGGCAAGTCCCGCTTTTCTGGGGGAGGGGCAAGTACCCCTCAACCCCTTTTCCTTCACCCTTAGTGGCAAGTCCCGCTTTTCTGGGGGAGGAGCAAGTACCCCAACCCCTTCTTTCCATGTCTCTACGCCTTCTCTGCTTTTCTGGGGAAGGGGCAAGTACCCCTCAACCCCTTCTTCACCCTTAGTGGCAAGTCCCGCTTTTCTGGGGAAGGGGCAAGTACCCCTCAACCCCTTCTTCACCCTTAGTGGCAAGTCCCGCTTTTCTGGGGAAGGGGCAAGTACCCCTCAACCCCTTCTTCACCCTTAGTGGCAAGTCCCGCTTTTCTGGGGAAGGGGCAAGTACCCCTCAACCCCTTCTTCACCCTTAGTGGCAAGTCCCGCTTTTCTGGGGGAGGGGCAAGTACCCCTCAACCCCTTCTCCTTCACCCTTAGCGGCAAGTCCCGTTTTCCTGGGGGAGGGGAAAGTACCCCAACCCCTTCTCTCCGTGTCTCTACCCCTTCTCTGCTTTTCTGGGGGAGGGGCAAGTACCCTTCAACCCCTTCTCCTTCACCCTTAGCGGCAAGTCCCGTTTTCCTGGGGGAGGGGAAAGTACCCCAACCCCTTCTCTCCGTGTCTCTACCCCTTCTCTGCTTTTCTGGGGGAGGGGCAAATACCCCTCAACCCCTTCTCCTTCACCCTTAGCGGCAAGTCCCGTTTTCCTGGGGGAGGGGAAAGTACCCCAACCCCTTCTCTCCGTGTCTCTACCCCTTCTCTGCTTTTCTGGGGGAGGGGCGTACCCCTCAACCCCTTCTCCTTCACCCTTAGCGGCAAGTCCCGCTTTTCTAGGGGACAAGAACCCCCAATCCCTTATTTCCATGCCCCGACCCCTTTCCCGCTTTTCTGGAGGGTAAGAACCCCTGAACCCCTTCCCTCCATGTCTCTATGCTCTCTTTTCTCTGGGCTTGCCTCCTTCACTATGGGCAACCTTGCACCCTCCATTCCTCCTTTTTCTCCCTTAGCCTGTGTTCTTAAGAACTTAAAACCTCTTCAACTCTCACCTGACCTAAAATCTAAGCATCTTATTTTCTTCTTCAATGGTGCTTGACCCCAAAACAAACTCGACAGTAGTTCCAAATAGCCGGAAAACGGCACTTTCAATGTTTCCATCCTACAAGATCTAAATAATTCTTGTCATAAAATGGGCAAATGGTCTGAGGTGCCTGAAGTCCAGGCATTCTTTTACACATCGGTCCCTTCCTAGTCTCTGTGCCCAATGCAACTCATCCCAAATCTTCCTTCTTTCCCTCCCACCTGTCCCCTCAGTCCCAACCCCAAGCATCGCTGAGTCTTTCTAATCTTCCTTTTCTATAGACCCATCTGACCTCTCCCCTCCTCACCAGGCCAAGCTAGGTCCCAATTCTTCCTCAGCCTCTGCTCCTCCACCCTATAATCCTTTTATCACCTCCCCTCCTCACACCTGGTCCGGCTTACAGTTTCATTCAGTGACTAGCCCTCCCCCACCTGCCCAGCAATTTACTCTTAAAAAGGTGGCTGGAGCTAAAGGCATAGTCAAGGTTAATGCTCCTTTTTCTTTATCCCAAATCAGAAGCGTTTAGGCTCTTTTTCATCAAATATAAAAATCCAGCCCAGTTCATGGCTCGTTTGGCAGCAACCCTGAGACGCTACAGCCCTAGACCCTAAAAGGTCAAAAGGCCGTCTTATTCTCAAAATACATTTTATTACCCAATCTGCTCTCGACATTAAATAAAACTCCAAAAATTAAATTCCGGCCCTCAAACCCCACAACAGGACTTAGTTAACCTCGCCTTCAAGGTGTACAATAATAGAGTAGAGGCAGCCAAGTAGCAATGTATTTATGAGTTGCAATTACTTGCCTCCACTGTGAGACAAACACCAGCCACATCTCCAGCACACAAGAAATTCCAAATGCCTGAACTGCAGCAGCCAGGCATTCCTCCAGAACCTCCTCCCCCAGGAGCTTGCTACAAGTGCCAGAAATCTGGCCACCGAGCCAAGGAATGCCCGCAGCCCGGGATTCCTCCTAAGCCGTGTCCCATGTGTGCAGGACCCCACTGAAAATCGGACTGTTCAACTCACCTGGTAGCCACTTCCAGAGCCCCTGGAACTCTGGCCTAAGGCTCTCTGACTCCTTCCCAGATCTTCTTGGCTTAGCGGCTGAAGACTGACGCTGCCCGATCGCCTCAGAAGCCCCCGAGACCATCACGGATGCCGAGCTTCGGGTAACTCTCACAGTGGAGGGTAAGTCTGTCCCCTTCTTAGTCAACACGGAGGCTATCCACTCCACATTACCTTCTTTTCAAGGGCCTGTTTCCCTTGCCTCCATAACTGCTGTGGGTATTGACAGCCAGGCTTCTAAACCTCTTAAAACTCCCCAACTCTGGTGCCAACTTAGACAGTATTCTTTTAAGCACTCCTTTTTAGTTATCCCCACCTGCCTAGTTCCCTTATTAGGCTGAGACACTTTAACTAAATTATCTGCTTCCCTGACTATTCCTGGACTACAGCTACATCTCATTGCCACCCTTCTCCCCAACCCAAAGCCTCCTTTGTGTCCTCCTCTTGTATCCCCCCACCTTAACCCGCAAATATAAGATACCTCTACTCCCTCCTTGGCGACCAATCTTGCACTCCTTACCATCTCATTAAAACCTAATCACCCTTACCCCACTCAATGCCAATATCCCATCCCACAGCACGCTTTAAAAAGATTAAAGCCTGTTATCACTCTCCTGCTACAGCATGGCCTTTTAAAGCCTATAAACTCTCCTTACCATTCCCCCATTTTACCTGTCCTAAAACCAGACAAGCCTTACAAGTTAGTTCAGAATCTGCGCCTTATCAACCAAATTGTTTCGCCTGTCCACCCCGTGGTGCCAAACCCGTATCCTCTCCTATCCTGAATACCTCCCTCTACTACCCATTATTCTGTTCTAGATCTCAAACATGCTTTCTTTACTATTCCTTTGCACTCTTCATCCCAGCCTCTCTTTGCCTTCACTTAGACTGACCCTGACACCCATTAGGCTCAGCAAATTACCTGGGCTGTACTGCCGCAAGGCTTCACAGACAGCCCCCATTACTTCAATCAAGCCCAAATTTCATCCTCATCTGTTACCTATCTCGGCATAATTCTCATAAAAACACACGTGCTCTCCCTGCTGATCGTGTCTGATTAATCTTCCAAACCTCAATCCCTTACAAAACAACAACTCCTTTCCTTCCTAAGCATGGTTAGTGTGGTCAGAATCCTTACACAAGAGCCAGGACCGCACCCTGTAGCCTTTCTGTCCAAACAACTTGACCTTACTGTTTTAGCCTAGCCCTCATGTCTGTGTGCAGCGGCTGCTGCTGCTTTAATACTTTTAGAGGCCCTAAAAATCACAAACTATGCTCAACTCACTCTCTACATTTCTCATAACTTCCAAAATCTATTTTCTTCCTCATACCTGACGCATATACTTTCGGCTCCCCAGCTCCTTCAGCTGTACTCACTCTTTGTTAAGTCCCACAATTACCATTGTTCCTGGCCCGGACTTCAATCTGGCCTCCCACATTATTCCTGATACCACACCTGACCCCCATGACTGTATCTCTCTGATCCACCTGATATTCACCCCATTTCCCCATATTTCCTTCTTTCCTGTTCCTCACCCTGATCATGCTTGATTTATTGATGGCAGTTCCACCAGGCCTAATCGCCACACAACAGCAAAGGCAGGCTATGCTATAGTACAAGCCACTAGCCCGCCTCTCAGAACCTCTCATTTCCTTTCCATCGTGGAAATCTATCCTCAAGAAAATAACTTCTCAGTGTTCCATCTGCTATTCTACTACTCCTCAGGGATTATTCAGGCCCCCTCCCTTCCCTACACATCAAGCTCAAGGATTTGCCCCCACCCAGGACTGGCAAATTAGCTTTATTCAACATGCCCCAAGTCAGGAAACTAAAATACCTCTTAGTCTAAATAGACAGTTTCACTGAATAAGTAAAGGCCTTTCCTACAGGGTCTGAGAAGGCCACCGCAGTCATTTCTTCCCTTCTGTCAGACATAATTCCTCAGTTTAGCCTTCCCACCTCGATACAGTCTGATAGCAGACCAGCCTTTATTAGTCAAATCAGCCAAGCAGTTTTTCAGGCTCTTAGTATTCAGTGAAACCTTTATATCCCTTACGGTCCTCTGTCTTCAAGAAAAGTAGAACGGACTAAAGGTCTTTTAAAAACAGACCTCACCAAGCTCAGCCACCAACTTAAAAAGACTGGACAATACTTTTACCACTTTCCCTTCTTAGAAGTCAGACCTGTCCTCGGCATGCTACAAGGTACAGCCCATTTGAGCTCCTTTTTATTAGGCCCCAGTCTCATTCCAGACACCGGACCAACTTAGACTGTGCCCCCAAAAAACTTGTCATCCCTACTATTTTCTGTCTAGTCATACTCCTGTTCTCCATTCTCAACTACTCATACATGCCCTGCTCTTGTTTACACTGCCGTTTTACACTGTTTCTCCAAGCCATCACAGCTGATATCTCCTCCTGCTATCCCCAACCTGCCACTCTTAACTCTTGAAGTAAATAAACAATCTTTGCTGGCAGGACTATGCTGAATCTCCTTAGGCACTCTAATCAGATGTCCTAGGTCCTCCCAATTCTTAGACCTTTTCCATTTAGTTTTTCAATTCATACAAAACCGTATCCAGGCCATCACCAATAATTCTACACGACAAATTTTTCTTCTAATAACCGCACAATATCACCCCTTACCACAAAATCTCCCTTCAGCTTAATCTCTCCCACTCTAGGTTCCCACGCTGCCCCTAATCCCGCTTGAAGCAGCCCTGAGTAACATCGCCCATTCTCTCTCCATACCACCCCCGAAAATTTTCGCTGCCCCAAGACTTCAACACTATTTTATTTTTCTTATTAATGTAAGAAGGCAGGAATGTCAGGCCTCTGAACCCAAGCCAAGCCATCGCATCCCCTGTGACTTGCATATATACATCCAGATGGCCTGAAGTAACTGAAGATCCACAAAAGAAGTAAAAATAGCCTTAACTGATGACATTCCACCATTGTGATTTGTTTCTGTCCCACCCTAACTGGTCAATGTACTTTGTAATCTCCCCCACGCTTAAGAAGTTTCTTTGTAATTCTCCCCACCCTTGAGAATGTACTTTGTGAGATCCACCCTGCCCACAAAACATTGCTCTTAACTTCACCGCCTATCCCAAAACCTATAAGAACTAATGATAATCCACCACCCTTCCCTGACTCTCTTTTCGGACTCAGCCTGCACCCAGGTGAAATAAACAGCCATGTTGCTCAAAAAAAAAAAAAGAAAAAAGAAAAAAAAAATGAGTGAATGAGAGAGAGAGAGAGTGTGTGTTTGTGTTGTGTTTAGGGAGTGGAGTAGGGAGTGAAGGACAATGGGGAAGGAGAGAGCAGAAAAAGGAAAAAGCTTTCATGCTTTTCAGAAGGAAGAGAAATTTATAAATCTAAACGGAAGAAAACTAATATATGATTCTCTCCCTTGAAGAAAACTCCTTATAAGGTTTTGGTTTTAATCTATTTGCTTAGCTATTTTAGCTGTAGTATTTTAAAATGGAAATGGCAAGTTTAAAACTATGGACTTCCCACATTTGTTTTACTGAGTAATATTACAGAAATGGCAGTAAGTTCAGAGGGACTGTTCATTTAAAATACGTTCCAATTGTTGAAACATAAAAACTGACTAGTGACTGATTCTGAAGTCACCTAGTGACTTCAGTGCATATTTATAAATGCATAAAGTGCTAGATAAAATGCATCCAGCTCCAATGAATGATGGGGGTATTTCTTAAGGCAGAGCAAGTGTTTGGTTTGCTCTCTCTGCCTAGAACATTAACCAAGGTCAGAGAGTGCTTAGAATCAAGTTTGTGTAACTCTTTCATATGCATTCTTAAAAGTATCATATCATTATTACTCATGTCCTGCAAAGATCAGGTGATAGCCTGAACCATATTAATGCTAGATTTAAGTACATCAAATTCATAAACACTTTGTGCTGTACTTTATAAAAATAACACCTTAATTTATATAATCCATTAGAATTTCATAACATTTTCATTATTATCTCATTCAGTATCTCAAGAATCCTTGGAGTATGAACCTTTAATCCAATGATTCTCCACTGTGGGCAATTTTGCTCCCCACCCAGCAGACATCTGACAGTGCCTGGAGACATTTTTGGTTGTCACATCTCACAATGACCAGGACAGGCCCCACCCCAATTACAGTGAATTATCTGGCCCCAAATTTGAATATCGTCAATGTTTGTAAACACTTTAACCCATCTTTAAAGAAATCCTGCTTTAATCCCTCTTTAAAGATGACTAAAACAGGTACCTGAGAACCTAAATTGCCTGAGGTCACATAGCTGGTCATGTATTCTCTTTCCCAGTCTTAGGACTAGAAGCCAAATATCACCACTTATTCATATGTTACCTCCATAGTCATTGTGACTGCATTCTATATGAGTGTTTCAGTGCTCAGTCATGTTATAAAAATGTCAGATTAAAGGAAAATCTCTCCTTTTGATTTGCAAAGTCAAGGAGAAGACATGCAGGACTTGCAGGGGCAGGGTTGGGGCAGTACTCTGACAGGATCTCAGCATGGGTTGCCTTTGGTTCCTGGAGCTGTCCCAGGACTAAGGGACAGGGGGTGCCAGATGAGAAGGAACGCAGGTGAAAAAAGTCTCATTATCAAATTAAAACTTAGACGAGGGAAAAAAGGGAGAATAAGGGGATTTGTCCAGGGAGGAAGGAGAGATGATTCATGAGGATATTCGTGTGGATGAAGAAAGAACTGCCTGGAGCAATTCTTCGATTCCAGTTCAAGTGCCCAGTGGGTTTTAAGTGATGCCTGCAGGTGATGTTTTGGGTGTGCTAAGAGCACTTTCAATGATTCTAAATTGAGATGAGCTTCAGACACACAAGACAAGCTAGTTTAAAAGCAGGAAATTCTGACCCATCATCAGAAATTCTGATTCATTAGCTATGGGTTGGGGCCTGGCAAACTGTACTGTAGCACACTCCCCTTATTGATTCTGATGGTGAGGGTCAGAATAAGTCAAATGCTGGAGGTAGCCAGACCTGAAACACAGAGCGAGTACACCTGGATCCTCCTCTCTCTCCTGGTAATGTCTAGCCCAGTGTTCAGAAACACTGGAGATTTACTGCTGGTTTTCCAACTCAATTATCTGAAACCCCTTTTATGGACACTACAGAAGACACTCAGGTATATAAAATATAAAAATATAAAATACGACAACTGTAAATCTAAGTGTTTTATAACATTAGTTACCTGGAAATAGTTTCTACCTAAAGCTCCGTTTCCATCAGGAAGCAGGTATTAAAGTCTCCCCTCCTCATTCATTTTTTTCTTTGGTCCCTGAAGTTGTAGGAGAGTGAATAGCTTGCCTATTTCTTTAGATAGGGGAGGAGATACCTTTTCACAACTTAGCTGTGGCTCTCTTTTTTGGATTCACAACAGTTATACTGCTCTAATGATAGGGGAAAATATCTGTTACAAACAAAATCCGTAATATTATGGATCGAAAGTATTCTAGGTAAAGTATGAGTCTGGGGTTTTTCTTGGTCCATTTTGTTTTATCCCTTCCAACAGCTATGAGTGACTGGATATAGATGTGGGTTTGGATGGGAGTGAAGATGGCCTTGAGGGATTAGGACAAGCTGGCTAGCCCGGAGTTACCATCTTTTCATGTAGGCACTTACTGACATGCACATCTTTTAGTTTGGTTTTTAGCGGTTGCCACATCACCTTGCTGGAAACCATTACTTCTGTCAGGTCTCTGGCCTTGTGCTTCATGAGTTTGTCCCTACAACCTTGAGTCTGGCTGTAATGCTTTGGCAGCTCTGCATACTTTGGTGGTCATTTGATCTCCCTGATACAAGTATTGTCCTGGGTGCTTAACTAACCCTCATTCTTCATATAACTTCACCCACTACATCTGATTGGTAAGTTTTCGTCTTAAATACTCCTCAAATCCACTCACCTTTACTACCTTATTTCTGATTGCAATTATTCACTTGGATCATTATAGTAGATTTCAAATTGCTCCTTCTACCTCCAGACATGAAGATCCTGAATCCACGTATTGAAATGCAATACCTGGATACTCAACGTGTATAGAATAAAATACTGAAATTGATGTATTTTGGCATGACTGGCAAGTTGCCCACCTCCTTGGCTCCTGCTACATCCTACATTATATTTTAAAGTTCTAAGGTGAAGGTGCTGGAGTAGTTACAGAACCCCATGTACACCACTCTCCTTCCTGGCTCCAAACATTAGCTCTTCCCTCTCCCTGGGATGCCCTTCCTAACTTTATTTATCTGGACAAATTAAACAGACACTTTAAGATTCAGCCTATAACTCACCATCAATGTGAGATACTCTCTGGTCTTCCTTTCTCTAAATTCCTCTGGAAAATTTGGTTACTTTTATCATGACATTTACCATCTCGAATGGAAAAATGTATCCTGTTTCTAAGAAGTGGTTCCTTAAGCAAGTAAGGACTATATCATACTCATACTCATTGTTTCTTTCATTTCAGTCTCAAGCAAAATGCCTGGAAGACATAACAGTCATTCAATACATCCTTGTTGACACAGGAGGTGCTCTGAATTTTTTTTTTTTTTTTTTTTCTTTTCTGAGATGGAGTCCCACTCTGTTGCCCAGGCTGGAGTGCAGTGGCGTGATCTCAGCTCACTGCAAGCTCTGCCTCCTGGGTTCACGCCATTCTCCTACCCCAGCCTCCTGAGTAGCTGGGACTACAGGCACCTGCCACTGCGCCCAGCTAATATTTTTTATTTTTATTTTTTTATTTTTAGTAGAGACAGGGTTTCACCATGTTAGCCAGGATGGTCTCAAACTCCTGACCTTGTGATCCTCCCGCCTCGGCCTCCCAAAGTGCTGGGATTACAGGCGTGAGCCACCGCGCCAGGCCTGAACATGTGTTTAACTACTCAGACCTGACCATGTTTTGAGTCTCTAATTTGGAGTTTGTTTGTGGTTTTGAGGACTGAGAAGGCTGCCATGTTACTAAGTTGCCTCCACTTCTTTAGTATGACAGGAAACAAACTCTACCAAAGAGACTCAGAATAGACAAGCTTAAGTTTATTCTACCCACTTTGTTCCTGTTCTACTGCATAGGAAATTTTCTCTCCACTAGTTCCCCTGAAAAGTGGTAACTCTCAGTTATACTTATGTGTTTCACATTATATTGAATGCTCTTTTACATTTACTAATATATCTCCCCTTTTCTTTTGCTCCCCTTTTTTTCCTTTGTTTTATAGAATCCATCATCACCATGTCCTCTGTATTTTCCTAGTGCCTGAATGCCACCTTTGCCTTCTCAGAACAACCATTCCTTTTCCAAAACTGTATAGCTAAATGTTTTAAAAAACAAAATGTAAATGTTTTAAAAAAACAAAATTGAAGTTGCTGAAAGACTCCCCCTTATACCTGACTCCAAGAAAAGTGGCGAATTCATCTGGGCTTTCACTGTGGCTACAGTGACCTTAATGGCTTGAAGTGATTTTCCAGCATTGTAGCTCAAAAAAGATCTGTCGCTAGTCCATTCCAGAGCCCTTTATAAAAGTGAGCTATTCATTAACCCAAAAAAGGAGAAAGACAGAATAGTTAGAGAAATCACATATTTGACCTAGCAGAAGCTGTCTCTCTGGAAAATTGCTGAACTATATCAGACAATGTGAAAATCCATTCTTAAACCTTAAAAAATGTCCTTTCTCTGACATATTTGCGTAAGACACTTGAGCAATCCTGTGAAAACTATCCTCAGTGGTTTCCTAAAGTGTTGAGTGCTGGCAGAATCAGAGGCCAATTTCACCCTGTTCACACCTTCTTCCTTAGGTGCCAATTGCTATTCCCCAGCCCTGGGTCTCTACCAGGTCTCTTTTGGCATATCCCAACCCATCTGTCAGACACATCAATTCTGGGTTGTCTAAGTCTGCTGTTTTATCCAGGGATTTAAAAGCATGTTTTACATTAACTTAGCTGCCTAAAATAAAAATTGAACTTTGTGCTCCCTCTGCCTGGGGGAATCAGTTTTATAATGAGTGATCACTGTAAAAAAGTTTCACTGTAAATTCCTGATTAGATTGTATAGTTCCTCCAATAAAAAGAAAACTCAAAGCAAGCAAGATTGATTCTTATTAATTTAAACATTAACACCAAAAGACATAAAAAGAAGTGCCATGGACTATGATATTTGTTTTTAAATAAAAAATAAATATGGTATAAGTCTAACAAAATAAAAAACAAAAATTAAATGAGGAGAGGATTTCTAGGTTTTTGTCTGAACTGTCAACTAAAAAGTGGTGTGACCCAAGCCAAATGACTAATTTCATTGAGGTTCGATTTACTTATATGTAAAGGTTATGTCCTGAGGTTTATTAATGAAATTAACTTTTTCATATATAACCTTTATGACATTTTTTCCTGTTTTGCTGTATATTTAGAATACCTTCTTTCATTTCCATTTCCCATTTAGAAAAATGCTTCTCTTTGTTGAAGATTTAGTCAACCACCTATCCTATAAAAACGCTTAAGAAAGGCCGGGCACAGTGGCTCATGCCTGTAATCCCTATACTTTCGGAGGCCTAGGCAGGTGGATCACCTGAGGTCTCAAGTTTGAGACCAACCTGGCCAACATGATGAAACCCCATCTCTACTAAAAATACAAAAAATTAGCCAGCCGTGGTGGCAGGCACCTGTAATCCCAGCTACTCAGGAGGCCTGAGGCAGGAGAATCACTTGAATCCGGGAGGCAGGGTTTGCAGTGAGCTGAGATTGTGCCACTGCATTCCAGCCTGGGTAATAAGAGCGAAACTCCACCTCAAAAAAATTTAAAAAGTAAGATAAATAAAATGGCTTTTCTAGCCAAAGCTGCTCTTTTCTGGCACACTTGTTTTTCAGTTCTCCTTGCACCAATAGCACATTGCATTGTTTTGTCTTAGCACTTATTTTATTGTGCTGTGATGATCTGTTTACTTGGACCTTTACCACACTAGTGTGTACAAAGGGTCTACATTTTTATGATTTTCATCCTGGCATCTAGTGCTCAGAACTGTAGCCAGAACACAGTAAGTGCTCACTATTTGATTCTCTTTGGCTTGAATGGATGTATTCTTACCAAGCACAAATTATCCCAGCCTAACCTCTTTCTCTAGCCACTGCTGCACTGACCAGTTCTAAACAGTCTTTCATCAGCCTGGCTTGAGAGCAACCCAAAGCTCTTCACCGTGAACCTGTGTCATACATCTCTTACTTTCTACCTGAGTGCTTCTTGAATACCCTGTGTAGGATACTTGGTGCACTCATACACAAGCAAGCAGAAAATGCAAGAGAATTAGCGATCCTGGGACCCCACTTAACCAATGCCAGTTAATACAGTTTCCACCCTTTATTCCTCTAGATGCATAGCTCTGAGATAGTGTGCATACGTCTTCTCAGAATGTTCTAGAAAGGCTGAAAGCTCTAGTCATCCACAGCAGTGGCTTACTATAATATGCATCTTTATTTTGGTTTTCTCTTCTTCCCTATTTCACTTCAGTACCTTTCTTATGAATTATTTCCCAAATAAGATACCTGTACTTAACCCCTTTCTCAGCCTCTGCTTTTGGTTAAACCAAACATCCACTAAAGTTCATGATCCTGAAATGTTCAAGGAAGAATGATATCTATGTTCCTGAAAAGTAAAGGTCCATATTGCAACGTTTAAAGTTTCCCTAAATGCGTTAGAGTGTAGTTTTCCAAAATTAATCAATTTCAGTTCTACATGACCTTTACAGAACTTTGTCACTTTCCCATCAAGAACTGGAGTCCACATCCCTCCCCTTGAATCTGGTTGGACTTTTGTGACTGGCTTGATTAATAGAATATACAGGAAGTTAAGTTGTGGAAATCTCAAGGATAGATTAGAAGATGCACTTTCCATCTATCTCCCTATTGGGAAACATTACTTTGAAGCCCTGAACTTCCATATAAGAAATCCAGCCACCCTAAAGATGCCATGCTGGAGAGAACCTATGAAAAAACCAATAGAGGTAGAGATGCCAAGGCGCCCCAGCTGTTCCAGCCTCTGCTAGTGTCTCCCAATTGAGGTTTCAGGTACGTGGGATAAGAAACCTTTGAAATGACCTGAGCCCCAGCCACATTCTGAACACAAATTCATCAGAGGCTATCAACCAGAACCTTTCAGCTGGGTCACTTCTAAATCCTGACTTACAGAAACAGTGAAAGATAATAAGTGATTGTTGTTTTAACCCACCAAGTTTGGAGTAATTTTTTATGCAGAATATATGACTTTAACACTAGGTGACAACATCTTGTTTTAATTCTATATCTTTCAAATATGTAGTCTTACACCCCTCATGAATAAAATAAATTGATAAAAATAATACTAAATATTTATTGATAACCTCAAATTAGGGCAAGAAAATGTTCCATACTTGTGCCTAGCAGATACAGAGACATTTTTGCATTCTGCCAAACTAGTTGGCCACTGTGATGGAAATAAATCAGATCACAGAATTACTTTGTGTTATAAAGAACAATAAGATGAAATAAAATCAAGATAAACTCAGCTAATTCTATTTGGTTGCTCAATTTACAAATCATGCAATTGAGATCTTATGTAAGCAGTAATAACTGTATGTTCAACCTTGATAAATTTGATACTACTGTTTTCACCTTTAAATGCATTCGGAAACATTCTTTAAAGGGAAAAACTATCCAAACTAAAATATGCTAAAGCACAGCAGCAATTTGGTAATCTCCAATTACAGTAAGAATGCTGTAGTGCATTGGAAAAGAAATCCACAAATTCTTTGCTGTACCTCTTATCAATAGATTGTTTATTTCTCCATCTGTTAAATTTTGACTTGGCAATACGACTTCTACCATTATATCATAGTAAACATGACTGAAGAAGAAGTTGAAAATTGGAGCTTGCCCACTCTTCATGCAGGGAACTCTTCAACAATCATGTGAAGAAGCTCCAGCTAGCCTCCTAGAAGATGAGAAACTACATAAAGGCCCCATTTATCTTAGCTCGCCCAATAGTCCCAGCTGACATTCCATATATTTAAGCCCAGCCATCCTGAACTGTCTAGCCCTACATGAGCTGGCCCAGGCTAGAACTTCCCAGCCAATTTATAGAATTCCAAGCAAATAATTAATGTTTATTGTGTTAATTCACTAAGTTTAGGGTGGTTTGTTATATATTAAAAAACTGATACAAATGGAAGTTGCTTTTATTAGATGAATCACATAAAAATATATGCTTCCTTTTTACCTTTCCAGCACTCCCATACTCAAGTATAGTGTTGCCAGGGATAGTCTGTTTCCTTTGCACTATTCATTCCTGGAAATCACTTTCATGCTGTAATTACAGGCATGATGGCAGTGCCTGATTCCCAAGTGAGCCAAGCTGCTGAACTTAAATTCACTTGACCAGCTGGGTCAGTGAAAATAAATGGCTTTCTTTGACCAGACTTGGCTTGGCTCCCTTAATAGTATCATTTTATATCCCTGGTTCAAGGACACAATTTTGCTGGTCAGGGGCATATTACTGATAAACATGCCACAAAGAAATAGTTAGCTTGAACAGCAGATGCAATTTTTTTTTTTCCACACAAGAGATTCCAAAAAGTTTTCTTCTTCTGATTTGGCCTGAAGGTCAAACCTCATTAAAGGTTAAAATAATGGTTTGGCTAAGTTTGACTAGTAAGGAAACTGCTTAAATTCTACTTTTCAGAAGCAGTACATTTGGAACTGGACACCTTGTTCATAATCACTGTGATCGCTTGTATTCTGGGAGTGAAATTGCTTTTCTCCCATTCTTAAACTGTGCAAGGAAACTAGGTACGTATCTCATTGTGACTGGTGTACTAGAGAAAACACCTCATTCTTTATGTATTTTCAGCTTCCATCAATAGTTCTACAGCACAATGTCAAAAATCCATGCACCTTCAAACTTCTCAGGTGTCACATTGTATCAAACACGCCATAATAGATAATCTACAGGCACAGCCTTCACAATAACTATTTTGTAGCTCACAGGCATGACACAGTTAACATCACACTTTGAACTGAATAATCTGACAACTTTTCATTTAAAAATAATAAAGGGCTCACAAGGCGCATTTTCCCCATACATGTTTTATTTCGTAGCACTTCCAAACTTCTAGTTTGTATTATTCTCTCCCTGACATTTTGCATGTCATATGGAGAGTCTCCTCAGGGAAAGTAAATCAGATTTCTGCCTGGAGTGCAAACTGACTAATAATAATCATCACCATAAAGGAGTCTGTTGTGTTTGGGACCAAAAGTGCTGTCTGGTTGTTATGGCAACCAGGATTTGAAAAGGGATGCCTGGTTGTAAGGGGCAGGCACCAGCATCCCAAAACCAATTCTTCATCCAAGCTTCTCCCAGCAGAATAATTTCCAGTCATTTCTAAAATGGATGCAGAGTGATGAATTGTCAGCTCATATGAACTAATCTCACTCAGGAAAAGGACCACATTTTCATCACAGAATTTGACATTTTCCCCTTTTCACTGGACTGATGTTGACAAAGGAGGGAGGCTAAGTGTATGGCCCTGGTTAAGACCATATATCAAGACTGCTAATTGATACTACAGAGAAGATGCATGTATCTGGTAGGGCATCTCTTCCTCTTGAAACTGTGCTCTTTCTTTTTTTTCCTTCCTTTAACATTTAAATGTATTTTATTTATTCCTCTTCTCAAAGTACTTCACTGACTTCCCATTTTCTTTAACTTCACAATCTAAGATTCCCACTTAATCACCTTTGCTGTAACAGCTTCCTTTCTCTACTTAAATTTGTTATTATATTTTTGCTTATAAAGTTTAGTTCCTCTTGGATATAACCTTTTATCTGCCTAGGAAAAAATCATCTTTTTAGACTCAATTCATTTGCAATCTTTTTGAGGATTTTGTGCTATCTACCCCTATCCTCCCACCTACATACAGAATACATGCTCCTCATCTTAAGCTGCATCTATGTAGAATTTGAGAATGTATTTTTTCAATAATATATTTTGATAGTCTACATTTCTTATTATAAGATAATTTAGAAGAGATATGCTACAGAGTTAGAAGAGTTCTTTGTATTACATAGGAAATCCTAAATACATTTTAAATCAATTTATATTCACCAATTTTTATCAGAGTTAAATTGTAGTTACATAAAATTTAGAAGACATAGTAACCATTTTACCAACAAAATACTTTATCACACAATTATTTTACCTGTAACATATTTCTCTCTGTCAATTGTGTACTAATTTTATAATTTTACATAATTGAAACTGTTGCATGTGTACAATTTTACTTATAGTTTTGTCCATTAATGCTATAACACAAACATTTCCCATATTTTGTCATTTTTCACAACTTATTTTCAATGCTTCATATCCATGCATCTATGACATGACAAGGCACTGTGCTAATCATTGAAAAGGAATAGGAAAATGAAACATTAGTCCTGCTCTCTAGAAGCTCTTATTCCAGTGATTAAACAACACACTAACACAACACCAAGAAGTTCTGAGGGAGGCAGACAGGGCCAGAAGAACAGTGAGAAAGGTTCATAAAGGCATGTCTGGAGCTATTGGAAAAGTTTATGACTTAATGTCGTCTCTTTTATGTAAATCATCTATTCAGGCTTTGCCCTGGCTTCTACTAATTTTATTTTTTATTTTTTTATTTTTATTTATTTTTTAGGAGATGGAGTCTAGCTCTGTTGTCCAGGCTGGAGTGCAGTGGCGTGATCTCGGCTCACTGCAACCTCTGCCTCCTGAGTTCAAGCAATTCTCCTGCCTTAGCCTCCTGAGTAGCTGGGACTACAGGCACCCACCACCACGCCTGGCTAATTTTTGTATTTTTAGTAGAGTCGGGGTTTCACCATGTTGGACAGGCTGGTCTTGAACTCCTGATGTCAGGGGATCCACCCGCCTTGGCCTCCCAAAGTGCTGGGATCACAGGCATGAGCCACCTCGCCCAGCTGGATTTTACTAAATTTAATACCTCACCTGGCAGCTCCCTAGCTACTCCCACTCAAGGTTCTCAATGTGACGATTTTGTCCTAACATCCACCCATCCTCACCAGAAGCCACTTCATATTTCTCAATTTTTTTTCTATATTGTCAAGTTTTATAAATAATTTCTTGAAATTTTAGATATGATAAATTGCGTTATTAATATCTGACATTTATTGACCACTTAATTTATTATTCCTACCATTGTATGCCGTCCAGTCAGCCACTACACTATATATGCATAGGCATTTTAGGGGACACAGATGTTTTGTTTTAGGCCATTAATTATTATTCTGAGCAATCTAATCACTGTTCTGCAGATTATTACGCTGGCCAGATCACACAACAGGACAGAGTCAAAAATCCCCATGTAAAATGCTCCAAATATGAACCCCAGCACAAGGTGGTCCTGGACCCAATTAGCCCACTGATTTTTTTTTTTTTTTTTTTTTTTTTTTTTTTTACTTAAATCTAGTGTCTGCCTCCTTTTTAAAATCATTCAATGCATTCCAGCAAAACCAAGGTGTTGCGGAATGCATGGAGCTTGATTGCCCAAGAGGGAAGCATTAATCACCATGATCCTGATGCTTAGCTTGTTTTCTCTACCAATTTAAGAACTTAGCAACAAAACCCTAGCAATCCAGGTGTTTTAGTGAAATATCATTCTTAGTCATCCATGTTGCGAGGTAAAACAATCAGTGTGTTCTAATAAGCCCTGCAGAAACACTCTTTTGTAGTGTAACCCCCATGCTGGTTTTTTTTTTTTTTTTTTTTTTTTGGCTCAGACAAGCTCTAATAATACTTCCCCATTTCTTGATGCTTGCTGAGGGGCCACTTCACATGGCTCTTCAGACATGACAACTGCCAGTGCCTTCAAGACATAACTTCAACCCACCCCATTTGAAAACATATTGCTGACTTTCCACACCTGCAATGGCTTACAGGATGGAGGGGGGATTATTGCCTCACAGCTGCATCTTGAAATTAAAGTCCGTTTCATTTACTTGACCCTGGAGCCTTGTCCAAACAAGCTCACTTGAGCTTTACCCAGATGGTGGCCATTTACTTCTGCCTCATTCGTTACTATGCCCTTATATCATGGCCCTGAGCCAGCTGGCACACCAACATAGCTTTTTAATGGGAAGGTTGCCCATCCTTATTCCTAATTTGGTAAATACAAAAAGTGGCTGGAAAAATGGCAACAATATTCATGTTGTCTTGTTTTTCATACAGATGAGCCTGCATCGTACATCTATAATGTTTATTTAATTAATCAAGTGGGGCAATTGTGTTAATAGGAAAAATTGGCATTTGTGGACAGTAACAAAATGATATTCAGGTTTAGTTATTATATTAATTGGATATTGAAATAATACTGCATGAAAAAACCATCCTATACTCTGGGGCCTGTGAAAACCTGTGCTTATATTAGTCTCATGGATCTGTGGGGTCAATAATGGTTTGGTTTCTCTAGGATGAATTCAGCTGAGCAGTACTGCTCAGACTGAAGGTTGGGTTTGGGTCATCTCCATGTGTATTCATTCTTAGACAAAAGGTGAAGGGGAAATGGCTCAAGACATTCTTATCCTATATTAGATCACTGGCACAGCCAGTGCCAACTCAAACTGTGTAAACATATTTAAGGCCTGGACTTGAATAATGACTACTGGACAAAGCAAGTTTACTCGCCTAAACTTGAAATTAATGGGCTGGGATTATGAATTCTGTCTACAGGAGAAGGAAAAGAAGAGTGAATACTTGCTGGATAGTCTAAATAATCATAGTTGCATACAAATTAGAAGGCATGTAGTAATACTGAAACAACATAATAATTGTAACACTGGATTACTGATACTTTTATATAGAAGGAGTATATATAACATATATAGCATACATATATAACATGTATATAAATATATGTACACCACCACCATGGAAGAATATTTAGATTCTAACAGCCAATGATATGAACCTTTAATTAATAAAGGAATAAATAAAATTAGGAAATAATATATAAATCATTTTAAGAAACTTCAATGCTACCTAATATATTCATAATATTTAAAAAGAATTATCTTGCTGGCAGTAGGTTGGTGCCCACAATATTTTGAATTCTGTTCTTTCTAAACAGCTAGAAGAGCATTGGAAGGGGTCGTGTGTCAAGGCCATGATTAGAGCTGGAATGGGTGATTTCTAGGGAAACTCAGCTAGGAGATCAGCAGGACTTGTTTTCCAAGCACTGGTCACAATCTCAGTCAAAACTCTGCTAATCAGAACAGGATCTGGTCAAAATATGATGCAATGAGAAAGCCAGCTAAACCAGCTTATGGCAACAGAAGCAACTTCCAGTCACCCTCACTGCCATTAGCATAAAGACATTCCCACCAGCGGCATGACAGTTTACAAATGCCATGGCAACGGGCCATAGTAATGGCCTGGAAGTTACCTCATATGATTCCAGAAACTACCCGCCCCTTTTCTAGAAAGTCAGAATGACCTATCTCTTACTTAGCATATAATTAAAAGTGGGTATAAATACAGCAGCCAACATCCTTTATGCTGCTACTCTGGGCATACTGCCTATGGATTAGCCTCACTCTACAAGGAGCAGTACCTCAGCAACTGCTGTACACAGCTGCTTCAGTCAAGTTGGTGTCTAACACCATTGGCTTGTCCTTGAATTCTTTCCTGAATGAAGCCAAGAACCCTCCCAGGCTCAGCCCCAATTTGGGGACTTGTCTGCCCTGTATCAAAATTACCTAAGAACCAATGTGTGATGGTGAAATAAAATTTTGTACAAAATTTTATACACTCCCTCCAGATTGATGCAGTGGCCATCAGGGGCAATGCTTTCATGATATCTGGTAACTCACATGTTCTTCTGGAATGTTGCCACTTCCCCATCAAGAGGTAGCATCCCCTTCTCTTCCCCTTGCATTTGGCCAGGCTTGTGACTCATTCATAGCCCCTATAAGTTTTGAGTCTATTCATTGCTCACTGGAACACTCAGTTTTGGAGACCGCAGCTATTTTATAAGCAATATGAGAGCCTTGAGGACACCATGCTGTGAGGAAACTCAAACCATGAAAACATCTATGAAGAAAAAGCGACAATAGTTCAGGCCCAGCTCTAGCCACCATTTGACTTCAACTTGATAAAAAAATTGAGACAAAACTTTTGTTAAGCTCCTTCCAAAATCCTCACCCACAGAAACCACTAGAAATAATAAAATTATTATTATTGTTTTAAGCCTCCAAGTTATTTATTAGGCCACAGTTGTGCCTGGAAGAGATATTCACAAGTATTTCTGGCAAAATTTTTAAGTTACTTTCTTCAATTCGGGATAGAATTTTAAAACAATTTATCAAGAGCCATATAAATGTTTGTTCTCTTTGACCTATTACTGCCTTTTCTAAGATTCTAGTGTAAGTTTTATTTGTGATGAGCATATATATATATATACATGTTACATTAAAATAATGATCAGCAACTTTAGAGTACAAGAAAGGGAGGCAAGTTAGGTAACTTAAAGTACACCTTCTGAATGATTTATTGTATACATTCTAAAATCAAAATCAGAGCAAAGACTATAAGTACATGGGAAAAGGAAAATGCTGTCACATTAACTGGAAAATACCTGGTATAAGATTGTATGTATATTATAACTGTAACTACATGTAGAGAAACATAAGGCAAAGCACAAATATAATTGATTCTACCATTGAGTTAATATATTGGAATTTATGATTTAAAAATATGTTATCCAGGCTTTCTAAAACTTTACTGACATATATAATATTTGCTTCCATCTAGAAACAATAACTACCAAATATTTGGCCTCCACTCCTTATACTAATTTAAAACATGGAGATTTGACTTATTAGAAGTGGAGTGAGACTAAATTACGAGTCAAAAGAATGAGTGGCTGTTGCTGCCACATTCTGGTCATGTCATGATCTTATTTCCTTCTATAATATGAGGATAAAAGCATAGAAAAATACAGATCAACTGACATAAGGAAACTAAAGTATTTTTCATCTTATAATGGCTATGTAATTCTAAGACATTATTTTGAAAACATACAAAAAAGAATTATTTGTGTTAAGAGGTTTTTATTTCATTTCACTTACATTTTTAAGTAAATATTTAGCTGAGAAATATTTTTTCACCAAAAATTTGCTCTCTCAATCCCTTAGAGTTAATTATTTTCTCCTGAAAAGTCTACCAATTCTGATAACAGTAAAGTCTTTGAAGGAGTGTGAAGACTCAGACTGAAACTCTCAATGATCTGTGTCACGAAACCAGTCACTGTATACTGTGTGTGTCAGCAGCAAATCCATCTACTGTGACTTACTGTAACCATTTATGCAAACCCAAGATCAACTTAAAATAAGCTAACATAGTCAGTGGACTGCTTATCATGGCATCATATCTCAAGAGAGGCAACTGCCTTCTAATTTGCTTTCAGAGGCTTATCTGATTTGACATGCAGTCTCTGCATAAAGAAAATATGAAAAAATATTTGCCCGGTTTTACAAATGAGAAATTTGAGTCCCAGGAAATGTATTTGACTTCCCTAAGATCACAAAGTTACTTGTAACTCGGTGTTCATTCACCTTAACATCAAGAATTCCATGTACTGACTTGTCATAGGAAGAAAAATGCTAAGAATATTTTTCATATTCCTTTTTGAGCAAAGGATATCTCGGTCTTATATCCTTATTTTAGACACTCATATTGTCTCCAACCTTTTAGCTTACATATATGCTGTTGTTTTTCACTTTGAATATACCCATCTTTAAAAAGCAGATGAGGACCTCTGTGACCAGACAGGATGAATTAATTTGTGGCAAAGCAGCACCTTCTTTGCCCCTTTGCACAACTAGAGTATGCTGGATAAATTATAAAACCAAAATATGTACTTTTAAGGCATCAAAATGCAGTAGCTACAGGATTATATAACAAACACTCCAGTAAGGAAAAAAACCTCACTGATTCTAAAGGTACCAGGTAACTCCTCCTGACCGTGAGAAGCAGTCTATTCTGTTCGTCCCAGGCCCAGACAGCTGGGGTGAAACAAACCAGCAGTTCTTTTAGCATTGTGAAGTAGATTACACATCAGAGGGTGAAGGGCTTCTTGGACATAGTCATCTTTCCCCATAGAACATTGCCCGGGTTCTGAGATAGTGAGGGACGACTGGTAGGTAATATAAAGACATCTAAAAAGCAGAATGAAATCCTGAGCAGTCTTTAGAAACAAAGACCCAACTTGGGAGGAGAGAAACTAGCTTTCAAGCACACTACCAGCCTCTCCTTCAAGAAATTTACTGGGCATTGAAGTTGTGTGGAGCTCAAACCCAGAGAGCTGGGCTGGGAAACGCTAAATGTTACTGACAAATCCAGTCCCTCTAAAAATGGTTGTCTTTCCTTGTTTGATGCCATGAAACTAATACATAAAACAAAAAGTGAGCATCAGGTAATGCAGGCTTTATTCGATGGCCATGGGATTGAGAAGTGGAAGCTTGATTCACTGATATCCTTCTCAGCTCATGAAAGCTTAAAAATCATAGATAAAGGGAGTTTTTAATGAAAGGATGAGGCATTAAAACAAAGGGAAGATTATTCATCTTTTCTGGACATGGGCAGAGGACTTTTCAGATCCAGAGTTGCCACCTTCCTTTTTGTCCTTTAATGGTTTCTTCTGGATGTTGTCATGGTAATATGGTGATTGTCAACTGTCCTGGCACTGTTGGGAGTGTCATTTGCCATGGAAATTAGATTATAATTAAGTTAGAGGTTCTTCAGAGGTCAAGGGAGCTGCCATCTTGAATCCCACCAGTCTTAGCTACTATGGTGATGAGGGGGAAACTTTGACAGCAGCGTAGAAATTTACCTAGGTCATGTAAGCATTACACTGCATAACATAAAGGGCAAAGCTGAATACACACACTCCCCCCCTCCACACACACATACACACACAAAGAGCAAAGCTGAGTACACACACACACACACACACACACACACACACACACTCTTATGACTCAGAAATGTTTCTCCTTAACATATCCTTAAATCGGTATCTACTCTCTATGAATGACATTCATAATATACCCTCAAACACCTATTAAATAGAGCATCAATAATCTGTGATGTATTAACAATAGAATACTATATTGCTATGAGAATCAGTGATCTCTAACTACACGTCACAATATGTAGAATCTCACAATGTTGCATGCAAGAAGCCAAATACAAAAGAGAAAATACTGTGCGATGCCATCAACATAAAGGACAAGCACAGATAAAGCTTATCTATGCCATGCTTTTAGATTTCATGATATGATTTCCCTAAAGCAGGTAGTGATAACCAAAGAGCATGAGGAGTCTTCTGGGAAGTTGCTAATATTCTTTTTCTTTATCTGTGGTGCATGATGCATGGTGTATTCAGTGTGAAAATCCATTGAGCTCTACACTTTGACATAAACACTATACTTCCTGGACATTTTACTTCAACAAAACGTATGAAAAGTTGATATGTATTGGTTTATAGAGAAGGGAGATGGTTATATTAATATTTTTAAGGGAATAAAAATTAAAATAATGCTGAAAAATTAATACTTGGCAAGTCTCTGTAATTTAAACAAATTTGATTTTTAAAATTCTGCAAACTGTACAGTGGCATCTCTTTAAATTTTAAATAAGAATGTTTTAAAATCAGACTAAAGAAAGTAGAATTTCCATTGAAAAAAGTTTTACATTAAAAATTAAATATCCTGTAAAATTAAGCCTCTGGGCTGGATGCAGTGGCTCACACCTGTAATTCCAGCACTTTGGAAGGCTGAGGCAGGAGGATCACTTGACCCCGGGAGATCAAGGCTATAATGAGCTGTGATCACACCACTGCAATTCAGCCTAGGCAACAGACTGACACTCTGCCCTGTCTCAAAATAAATACATAAATAAATTAATTAAGTTAAATTAAGCCTCTAGTCTTTTAAAGAGAGCCTTGTAAGTTCGCTGTGTTTTGTGTGTGTTTTAGTTTCTGTGATCTCTGAAATAGAAGTATCTGACAAAGTGTATCATTTCATCATCTTAGACATCTTTACGTTGTTGAGAACTTCAGCAATAGCTTGAATCAGGGTAATATAAATCAACATTACAACTGGATGAGGTGCAAGCCCCTTCTATTATCTTGTGTCCTACCTTGCTCATTCCTCCATCCTGGTCTGTTTTATATTTGTATCGATGACATATGTAGTCCTGGATTTACCTTTACCTTTTTTCCCCCTGTGGCCAATTATCACTATGCTGGGGTATTTTTATTAAACTACTACTCCATATCAACCTTACTGGGGAAAAAAATGACCTACAGTGACCATCCATCCAAGGGTCTCTCCCATGAAAATTATAAACACTCTTTTCCTAGTTGTTCATATATATATACATATATATACACACATATGTATATATACACACATATACGTGTGTATATATACATACATATGTATACACATGTATACATATTTGTTTATTTATTTATTTTGTGAGACAGAGTCTTGCTCTGTTGTCCAGGCTGGAGTGCAGTGGCGCGATCTCGGCTCACTGCAACCCCCGCCTCCCAGGTTCAAGAGATTCCCCTGCCTCAGCCTCCTGAGTAGCTGGGACTGCAGTCACGCGCCAACACGCCCGGCTAATTTTTTTGTATTTTTAGTAGAGACAGGATTTTACCGTGTTAGCCAGGATGGTCTCGATCTCCTGACCTCGTGATCTACCCGCCTCGGCCTCCCAAAGTGCTGGGATTACAGGCGTGAGCTACCGTGCCCCGCCAATTTTTTATTCTCATATGAACACTATGAGGCAAAAATTCATATTGTCCATGTTCAAATGCAAGAATAAACAAACTTGTATGCAAACCACAGTCAACTCCCACACTGTATTTTTGGTCTACAAAATCATAAATACATTGTCTTACCCAAACCACCTTCAGCTGCCTGTGAGAATAAAAGCAGATACTAAATAGAAGGAAATACTTCCATGTAATACTACTGAGAACTTCTCGTTTAAAATTTCTGGAAATAACAAAAAAAGCATTGCAAAACATGTGTTAGGTTCTGATGATTTATGTTATTCAAGGTCACAGTTGAACATTGCCATTATCTGAAACATCTTCAACTTCAAAACTTCTAATTCAAACCTTATGCTTTCTGATCATAACTTATGCCTTTCCTGTTTGTTTTCACTCGCTATTTAGAGTTGTAGTCCTAAGACTCTGGTAGAAATGCAGAATATCAGGTCCCGCCTAGACTTTGTGAATCAGAATCTGCATTGTAACAATATCATCGGATAATCTGTATGCACGTTAAGTTTGAGAAGCCCTGTTTAGTGTTTCTTCTGCCATCATTAACCCCATTGAGATCTTCTTCATGAGACCTCCATTTCAAGGACAAATCTGTATTGCTAACCTCCCAATCCCTTACCCTTCTATTTTACTTGTCTCTCTTATTTCTCATTCAACTTTGAATCTAGGGCTCATTTAATTTAAACAAACAAACAGGACAAAAATATCAACAAACCTGGCTGCGTTCTAGACCAAATAAATCAAAAATATATCTGAGGATAGACCTAGGCATCAAATTGTTTTTTAATCTCACCACATAATTCTAATGTATACACACATTTGAAAACTAAATTTCGTCCAGGCTCACGCCTGTAATCCCAGCACTTTGGGAGGCCGAGGTGGGCGGATCACGAGGTCAGAAGATCGATACCATCTTGGACAACATGTGAAACCCCCGTCTCTACTAAAAGTACAAACATTAGCCAGGCATGATGGCGTGTGCCTGTAGTCCTAGCTACTCAGCAGGCTGAGGCAGGAGAATCACTTGAACCTAGGAGCCAAGATTGCGCCACTGCACAACAGCCTGGGCAGGCTATAGAGCGAGACTGTCTCAAAAAAGAAAAAAAACCTAAATTTCATCTTCCTTTTTTTCTCTTGACTGCACAGCTGCATCTGTCAGGCAAACCTCATTTCCTTTATCAGTCCATATCAATCTAATTGTTCTTTCTCCTTAGCTAATATTGACATGCTAACAAAGTGTAACTTTGGAGAGAATAGTAGGTGACTTTTTATTAACTTTTTTCTTTATTTCCTAAAGTTTTGGCAACTTCCATATACAATTTCATAATCAAGAAACTAAATAATGTATACATAAATTATTGACACTGATTATCCTGGGTCATCATTTTATAACTGGTTTTTTACATTTTCTGTGTCTTCCACAATGAATGCATAGTATTTATTATTTTATTCTAAGGAAAATAAGGCTTTTTAATGTTTGCCTTTTTTTTTTTTTTTTGAGATTTTGAGATGGGGTCTCACTCTGTCACCCATGCTGGAGTGCAGTGGCGCAATCTTAGCTCACTGCAACCTCCACCTCCCGGGTTCAAGTGATTCTCCTGCCTCAGCCTCCTGAGCAGCTGGGATTACAGGCACACACTACCACACCCGGCTGTTTTTTGTATTTTTAGTAGAGACGGGGTTTCACCATGTTGGTCAGGCTGGTCTTGAACTCCTGAGCTCGTGATCTGCCCACATATGCCTCCCAAAGTGCTGGGATTACAGGCATGAACCACTGCACCTGGCCTGTTTTCCTTCTTTCTGTCAAGTACTTATCACATTTTAGAAATGTTTGAACACTCTGAACTACATTGACTACTTTGTGTAGAATTGGTATCATTTGTTCTTTAAATGTATGGTAATATTTGGGAGTAAAGCCATCTTAATCTGCAAGTTTCATTGTTGAAAAGTTTTTAACTATAAATTTGGCATTCTTAATAGATGTGACACTCCATGTTATTTAGTTTTTCAGTGAGATTTGTTGCTTCCTATTTTCAATAAATATTTCCATTTCACGGATGTTGTCAAATTTTGTGCATAGTGTTTCTGTCTATTTCTCTATTATCCTTTTAATGCCTGTGAGTTCGTCATTATTGTTCTCTTTCATTCTTGAGGTTGGTAATATGAGTTGTATACCTTTCTCTTTCTTTCTGTCTTTCTCTTGATTAGACTGGCTGGAGGTTTGTCAATTTTATTAACCTTTCTCAAGAACCAACTGATGGCCGGGCGCGGTGGCTCAGGCCTGTAGTCCCAGTACTTTGGGAGGCCGAGGCGGGCAGATCACGAGGTCAGGAGATCGAGACCATCCTGGCTAAAACGGTGAAACCCCATCTCTACTATAAATAGAAAAAATTAGCCGGGCGAGGTGGCAGGCGCCTGTGGTCCCAGCTACTCAGGAGGCTGAGGCAGCAGAATGGCGTGAACCTGGGAGGCGGAGCTTGCAGTGAGCCCAGATCGCGCCACCGCAGTCCGGCCTGGGCGACAGAGTGAGACTCTGTCTCAAAAATAAATAAATAAAAAGAACCAACTGATTTCATTGATTTTCTCTATAATAATAGTTGGGATTTTACCTGCCCTCTCGCAGTAACCTACAGAACAAGTAGACATAAAATCAGTAAGAACATAGAAAACCTGAACAATTATCAACAAACCTTTTCAAATTGACATTTATAGAGCACTTCACCCAATAACAGAAGAACGAAATCATTTTTAAGTGCATATGAAATCTTCACCAAGGCAGATAATATCCTGGACCATATAAATCTCAACAATTTTAATCAAATTGTAATCATACAAGATGTGTTCTGTAAAAAGTAACTTTAAAAATAAATGACAGAAAGATTTCCAGAAAAAATGCCAAATGTTTGAATATTGAAGAGCAGAATTCTAAATGGTGGAATAGAGAAAAAGAGGAAGTCATAAAGAAAATTAGAACATAGTTTGAATTTAAAGAAAATGAAAACACAATATATCAAAAGTTGTAGGATGTAGCAAAAGTAGTGTTTAAGGAAATTTGAAAACATTAAATGCTTATATTAGGAAAGAAATGAAGTCTCAAATAAATAATCTAAACTGCTACTTTGAAACTACAAAATGAAGAGCAAATTAAACCCAAAGCAAGAAGAAAAAAGGGAATAAAGAGTAGAACAAAAATCCATAAAAGGAAAATAAACCATTTAAAATCATTTTGAAGTAGTATATATAGACACGTGTTAATTTCTAAAGAACACAGAATTATGTATTTGGTGACCTCAATCATCTTTTAAAAATTTCTAGAAGAAAAGCAAATTAAGGACTGAAAAGAAATGCCTCAAAATGCTAAAGAGTTATATTAAGGAATTATAGGCAATATTTTCTCTTTTTATAAATATATCAGTTTCTATTGCTGTATAACAAATTATAGTCATCCCTCAGTATCCATGGGGGATTTTGGTTCCTGGACCTCCCAAGGATAGCAAAACCCACGGATGCTCAGGTATCTGATGTTAAATGGTATAGTATTTATACATAACCTATGTACATTCTCTGGTGTATTTTAAATCATCTCTAGATTACTTATAATACAAAGTAAATGCTATATAGATAGTAATTAAGCTATATCATTTAAGAAATAATGACAAAGAAAAATGTCTGCACACATTTATTAAAAACACTTTTTTTTTTTTTTGAGACGGAGTTTCGCTCTTGTCACCCAGTCTGGAGTGCAATGGCAAGGTCTCAGCTCACTGCAACCTCCGCCTCCCGTGTTCAAGCGATTCTCGTGCCTCAGCCTCCCAAGTAGCTGGGATTACAGGTGCCCACCACCATGCCCAGCTGATTTTTGTATTTTTAGTAGAGACAGGGTTTCACCATGTTGGCCAGTCTGGTCTCGAACTCCTGACCTCGTGATCCATCCGCCTTGGCATCCCAGAGTGTTGGGATTACAGGAGTGAGCCACTGCACTTGGCCACAATACAATTTTTAAAAATAATATTTTTAAATCATGTTTGATTGAATCCATGGAGGTGAAACCCAGGTATACATAGGGCCAACGATAGTACAAATTAATCAAACTAAGACAACATTCATTTATTATCTGGGATTCTGTAGGTCTGGAGTCTGGGCACAGCTTACCTTCATTCTTTGGCTCAGGGTTTCAAGGCCAGGAGCATTTCTTTATAGAGTTTGGGTTCCTCTCGCGAGCTCACGTGTTATTGGGAGAATTCAATTCCGTTGTAGGTCTTTGGTTTTTTTTTTTTTTTTGAGACGGAGTCTCGCCGTGTCGCTCAGGAGGGAGTGCAGTGGTGCCATCTCGGCTCACTGCAAGCTCCGCCTCCCGGTTTCACACCATTCTCCTGCCTCAGCTGCCACCGGAGTAGCTAAGACTACAGGTACCCACCACCACGCCCGGCTAATTTTTTATATTTTTGGTAGAGACACGGTTTCACCGTGTTAGCCAGGATGGTCTCAATGTCCTGACCTCGTGATCCACCCGCCTCGGCCTCCCAAAGTGCTGGGATTACAGGCGTGAGCCACTGCGCCCGGCCGGTCTTTGTTTTCTTTCTAGCTGTGATCCAGGACTAATCTCAATGCCTCACCACCTGGCTTTCCCAGAGGGTTTCTCACAATACGACCCCTTCTTCCCAATCATCAGGAGAATCTTTTCAGGAAAGGCCCAGTCCTTTTTGTAAAGGCTTTCACTTAATTAATTCAAGTCCAGCAGGATAATAACCCTTCTGATAAACTCAAAATAAATTGATTTCGGATCTTAATTATATCTGCAAAATCCATTCATCTTGGCATATAAGTTAACCTAACCATGGGGTAATAGCTCATCATATTCAGAGATCCTGTCTGCGTTCAGGGAGTGAGAGTTACACAGAGTACGCACACCAGGGAGTGGGAATCTTGGGGGGCATTATAGAATTCTGCCTGCCACAGTAACTTTTGGGGTTTTCCACATTTCTACCAAAACCCTATAAAATTTCAGAAATTAAAATAAGTAAATTTGATTTTAATAGTCCATTCAGAAACATGAAACTTTTGGTGACATGCATATATACAGGCATGTATATATACATTGTCTTATTACAATTTAAAAATAGATAAAATATATATTCAATCATTATTATTTTAAAGTGTGGTCATAGCCACACCCTTTTAAAAAATTTTTGTATGTATGTATGTATTTTGCATGCTTTGTATGAATGTATGTATTTTGCACAAATCTAAAGTATTAGTGAAAGTTCTGCTGCAGTGTTCACAAAGGTACCCACATGCATTTCCAGTGCCTTAGCAATATCCCCCAAGGAGCTACTACCATCGTTTTTTGCAACTTACTGGAGCTGTTACAATGTCAATCACGTGTCTCATATACTTCCACAGAGAGAATAATGGCCCCGCAGGAGTCATTACTGTGTCAACGCGGGTGCCTGAGCCTTTATGGTGTCAACAGATATGCTACGTTAATGTCAGTGGAATGGCCTCACGCAAGTTCTACTGCTATCATAAAAATAAAGGAAAAGAAACCCAAAAAGCAGGTTATTATCTGATAAGGAATCTAAATTAAACCCTCCAAAGCAGAGTAAGGCTCCCCAGAGACTCACAGTTTGTCCTTAACCATACCTCATTCAGCTCTTTTTGGAATGCGGTAAGCACAATAGTGTTTCCAGGAAGGAAGTACCGATATCTGCTACTTTAAAACAGTTCCAAGTCTTGAGAGGCAGCCCTCTTAGTTAAAAAACAAAACAAAACAAAAACAAAACAAAACAAAAAAACCCACTCTGGCCAACTAGTCTATCAGATATTTTGATAGCCCCTACATTAAGAGAATTGACAATTGTTTTGTACTGACGCACTGCTTGCCTGTCTGGTGTAAATTCTGAAATTAAAACCCAATATAGTGTGCTGTTTTGATAGCTGATGAAATGGGGACAGCCTCAAAGGGCCTATGTGAAAGACCTTCACCCACTGTGCTTTTGTGCATAAGGTCACCTAGCCAAACAACCATCCCCCGATGCTGAGGACTAGGAATGTGCTCATTTATCCCTGAGGAGAAGCTTCAGTTTTCTGCCAGCCTGTGAAATTATTCAAGCAAGACAATTACATTCTTTCTTGAAAACTGGGATGCACCTTACCTCCTTGTAACTACAGTGTTTGCCTCCCAGAGTCCGGGTAGTTCACTCTGTTCTTGAATGGAACCACCGTTTAGCCCTATGTGGTGCAGAGTGCTCCTTCCCTGGGCTGTGAGTCTATGTGAGTTTCTCATAAACAGAGAGCACTTTATGTGAGACTATAAACTGCTCCTGTTCTCATCTGTCCGGTTCCAGCTGCTGTATGTTCAACCATCGCCTTAAGCCTAGGGTGGGAAATTCTTCCTCGACACTGGGGTAAAGAGGAGGTAACCAAAACAATTTATTATCCTGTGATTCCATAATTATGCCCACTGCCACTCTGTTTTTTTGTTGATTCTCGTCCACTTTTATTCTAGATCTTTGCTAAATCTTTGGAGTTCAAAAGAAATCTTTGATTTCAGACCCGATGATTTTAGTGATTTCTTCCCTAATCATCCCTCAGCGTATGGACTGAACTATACAGTACAACTATGACAATTGTTTTTTTAGTTTGATTGTAAAGGTTATTTCTAAAGATGCACCATGATTACACATGCATGTTTCATAAAGTCCTGCTCATTGTTCTTTTCTCTGTCACCTTGCCCTCGCCATGCTCACTCCAGGCAATAAAGATATATTTTAGCTTTACAATGCAACACAGTTATGCTATAGGAGGCAAACAGCGTGTGCAAGACAGAGCTCTGTTGTTTTTATGCTGCATTAGCCAGAATACAGCAGGCAACACATGTAAATGCAACTGGACACCTTTCTTGGTGGTAGAAGAAGGAAAGAGATCTGGTGTTAAAGTGGGCAGAAATATAAGGAGTTAGTGGTCAGAAAGCCGAGGAAAGAACATGTTTTGGCCATCTTGTAAAGCAGACTTGGTTTGGAAGACAACCTGAGGAAAGAGTAAATATTTCTCTAAACTCACAGTGTATTCGTAACCATTTCTGTTTAGAAATGTAGAGAATAATGTTTGTTAATGCCATCCAAAGATCATTAAAGTTTAGAGCTGTCAGATGGGGTAGGTGTGAGGAGCTGAAGAACTCCTTAATTCGTATTTGACAAAAGATTGTTAGGACTAAGTCTGACATTCCTTCTGATGATGGAGAATTTCTATGTATTTTGCTGGTTTTAAATAAGAAAACGTATTTTTTTTTCAATATACACATTCACCCAATGGATTAAGTTAGCAAAATAGGTCACCAGTTTGCAAAGTCCTCTATATATTAATTTAGAAATGCTTTCTCTTGGGGTTTCTTTTAAATTTTCTTTAGTGGCATTTACGCTTTGAATTTTTGCATGTAACAACACTTCTTGCCTGACTTAATCTGGGGCCCTAATTAATTGTTGTATCAGGTCTCTAATTGCTTAGGTACTTAGGGTGCTATGCATCAAATATTAAATTGTTGGCTAACCAGCTGGGTTGCACCTGCAATTACGCATTTGCAGATATAACTAATTGCCAAAATTTCATCCATGGAGAATCCAGCATTTGGTTCTCTTCCCACAGTTATAAAGGGTTCTGGTGGTTAATGGATCACAAGGTCTCATAAACTACACTTCAAATTGTAGGATATTAGCATTTATCATATTCAAAACTCTATTTAATTGCTTGATAAATATTAATATATGTGGTTGTTTAATAATCATCTTATTTTCATAATAATACACAGTATTTTGAGGGGCATGAGCCTCTTAAGGGTGTCAGCAGATTTGAATGGTCAAAGCACATCTCACCTGCCTCATGCTTTTAGAAATCCTGACGATGAAATAAAACAGCAGGGCAGAGAAGTTTAAATCTTCAAACTTGCTGAAAAGTGCCTACCAGCAGTATCCCAACTCTCAAACCGCTGAAACCATATTAAGAAGAAACTGACAAGTGGGGCAAAAACGTCACATAGAGGCCATTTTTAGCACATTTAAGACCTACCAAGAACTTAACTTTGGGGACATATTTAGGTTTATACAGCTTTTATTATAAATTACTTTTTTACAGGTGAAAAAGGAAGAAAAAAGTGCATTTAACAGAGCATTGCCTGCATTTCAACGTGTTCAGCATTTTTTCATGCCTTTCAGAGATAATGTTTCCTCAAAGCTACCCTTTCTTCCTTTAGATTGCATGAAACAAATAAAAATTTACAATTTATGTTAAAATATCTAAAATTATATATACACACACACTAAATTATATAATTTAAAATAAAAAATTATATAGAATCTATCTGCATAAAGAAGAGTGTCCATAAACTATAATCTCTGAAGTTTTTATTTCAGTCTGTGGCTCGGCACTTGCTATTTAGAGCTTAACAACTATTCTCATGGTTTACCATTATTTTCTGAATATTGCTTTAGCAGAAACAAGTGGATATTATTTTGGCGACTGAAAATTTACTTAACACTTGCTGGCTGCCTGAAATTGTAATCAAATAGGAGAATACACAATCATCAGACTGGTCAAAATAGGGTACCAGAAGAAATGTGTCCACCAGAGATGAAAATGGATATCTATAAGTTAATGGAAATATAGAGGTAGAATTCGACAAAATTTCATTTGGATTTAGTTGGTCTTAATGATTTTGAAATAAGGACTATATTTAAAAAGACAGAACAATTGAGTAACAAGATAAAAATGAAAAGGAATAAATATAATTGAGTAATTACTGTCTTTTAGGCACTTTACTGAGCAATTTACCTACTTTTTTATTGATTAACATATCCTATGAAGGAGACTCCATGATCCATATTTAATATAGGAAGAGCTAAGACTCAAAGAGATTACACAGTACGTTCAAGGTCACAAATTTAATATGTTTCAGAGCCAGGGATTTGAGTCTAGACAGACTGGAGGTTTGATGAAAGGTCAGTCTCACATTCTATGGGCTCTATAGATTTCATAATTGTATGACAATTAGCCCATTGATAGTTATATCCATTATCTTACATATGTATTGTTATAATCATACCTAGTTATTGTTATAACGATGCCTAGTTATAACAACACATATGTATATGCATTGCACATGTCTAAACTATTGAAATATTGAAATATGTATTGTACATGTCTAAACATATGAAATAACTAGGTATAGTTATAACAATACATATGTATATTGCATTGTATATGTCTAAACTACTGTACATATTGTATATGACTAAACTACTTACACTTTGGAGCTCTTACAGATGAGTGAGATAATATATACTAGTGTGTATGTATATTTATGTCCATGTCAGAACCTAATCTAAATCTATTTAACTATATCTTAATTATGTCCATCTATTTTGCAGATTCAAAAATAATTATCAACTCCTAGATCAAAGAGCTAGTAAGTGATCTGCCTGGGAGTAAACACTAATATTGTTCATTCAGGACGTACAATAGATGTCAGAATGAAGGGTATGTCTTGGCAGTCACACGTAAAAGTTAAAATTCTAATTTTATGAAAAACTTACTCTGTGACCTGGATGCAATTACCTAATTTTCCTCATCTTCAATTTCTTCATTTAGTAGATATAATTTATTCATTCAACCAGCATTCATTGAGCTTCTATTATATTGTATGACTCTGTCCTAGGTCATGAGATACTTTATTAAATGAAAACTCCGAAAAAAATTACCTTCTCTTGTGGGGTTTACATACAAGTGGGAGAAAAAGGCAATAAATTGCAGGTCCAACAGATAACTTACCCTGCTAGAAGGCGATAAATAACAACAAAAAAGTCATCCTTATTCAACACATTGTGAAGGTGAAATGAGATTAACTGTACAACTTTCCTAAGTCAGGATCCATCACACAATAATCATCCATTCATATGCGATTATACTATTTCCTTCCTATTCAATGCCCTCTGGGTCTCTTTCCATTTGCCACATTCCTTCCCCAATGGCAAGAAAAGTAAATACTTACCCGAAACAGCTCCTTTACAACTGTGAATTCCTAAATCCCCAAGATCTATTCTTTCTTTTTTCTCTTTTAAAATTGTAGTTTTCATAAGAAATAACTGTGTCACGAGCTTCAACTTAGCTTCTACAGATGTGAGTAGTAAAGAAAGATGCAAAAGAACAGAAGTGTAACAAGAAATGCCTGCTGAAATTTCCTTTGTGCCAAAAACGAAAACTTTGAGAGAGACAAAGATCAACACAAGGAAACTCATAATTACTCCGACATGGGATAATATACCATACGCCCCTCTATAACCGGGCACAAGAGGACACTGGCCAAATGGCTTTCTTAATGCACTCTATTGGGTCTAGGTACAGAACTGGAAGCCATATGGTGCAATTCAGCCCTCCACATGAACTTCCAAGCTTTTATGTTCTGCCACATTATTTCACTATTATTTTTTATTTCAATGTGCAAACTGGTTTTACGGTAACAATCAAGACTTCATGAGAACCCCACAAAGAGAGGTAACTTCTGTTTGCCTTGAGCAAGGCTGTGGGAGCTCTTTCAGCCTGGCTGCTGGCTTTGGATTTGGAAGGTCCAGAGCCTCCAGAGAGTGAGAGGTGAAATGCTGTGCAGCCAATGTGTTTAGATAAAATGCAAAGGCTCCATGTAAAAAGCAAATGCCATTGCAAGTCTGGCTCATGGTCCCATTTGCACCTCTGGGCTACAGAGGATCTCTCAAGCCCCATTGCAATTTAGACTAGCTTGTTCATGTACTTGTCCATTGATGCATCATTCAACAAACCTTAGCTAAATATCTGCTCTGTCAAACACAGAGCTAGGCTCAGGGATACACAGAGATGTAACACAGCTCTCCAGAGCTTCGTATTCTTTAAGTATGGTGGGCAACACAAACATGTTTAGACATAATTCACTGTGGTGCAATGCTCATAAATCTAAGGGAGGAAAAAGTGCTATGGAAACACATACAAAAAAAATCTAATGACTAATAGGATCTGAACAGATTGAAATATTTCAAATCAGGCATAATGGCAAAATATGTGATAATAATAAATAGAAATTCACTGGGTAGAAAATATCAGGGTGGCATTCAAGACAGATGAAACATAACTGTGAAGATATAGAGTCATAAAATTGTACTCTATGTTAAGTCATTGGTAAATTATTTAGTAGCTGAAATGTTGTTTTGTTGATGGAGATGGTTGAGGAGGCTGTGTGAGACTATGAATGCTGTGTGGGCCATGAAGGTGGAGATGATGTGGAGCTGCTACATAACTTTTTACATAACAGGAGGACTTGATAAAGGCTGAGGTTGTCTACTGAATGCATTAACAAATTATTTTTGAATTAATGTCCACCTTATTTTTGGGAAAGGAAAATCTCAGCAAATCATCACCTTATTCACTTACTAAACATAGCATCTTTACTGAAGCAGAAACATGTATTTATAATCAACTTATTATAATTTAGGATGGCTACTGTTTACGAGTGCTGAAGTTTTATCAACATTAGCTATTAAGAAAAATAAGATGAAAGAAATTTGTGGAGGAGGGGGCCACAGGGATTTCAGGGACAATTTTTCTGAAAAATTATAATGAATGGGATAGAAAATGGTTCCAGTTCACACTATGTATCCAAGAATGTGAAAGTGATGGCTTCAGACTTGGAGCAAAACTTTAAAAAAATGGCTTAGGGTGTAAAGAGTAGAGTTCAGTTCTTGAAGAGAGGGTTAGAAAAACAACTAGTCTGCGTATAATAAGGTTTCTCCAGCCCCATTGAGATGGTCCACTCTTAGGTTCTGCAGATACAGCCCACAGGGAGAAAAGTCACTGGTCCTCAACATTCCGTAAACCCATCTTGCTATTGCCGATGCGGTTCCATTACTAGGAATGTTTCTTTCCTGCCCGTACTCTTTTAAAAATATACATCTGTAAATGTCCAGGTTGAGGTTTAAAGGAAGCCTTTGTTAAAAATTTTGACCTTCCATGATCTTTCCTTTTCTTAATCTCATTTATTTTCCTGATATCACCCATTTCAACTCTTAGAACACAAAAGCTTGGATTTAGAAATAAAGGGTCTTTAGTGTCTGTCTCAGACTTGAAATAAACCCAACCTTTAAAATGTCTTCAGAATACTCATCATCTGCATGGTCACTCCAGCCGAATTTCAGACCAAGACTGTTTCAAGTCCCTAGTTAGGTCTGGGCAGACTAGGATATGAGTGAGAACCAGGAGGAAGAAAAGTGAGTAATCATTGAATGTAGACCTGCCAAGAACAGATGAGCATCATTGAGGGGAGCTCCTAATTACTGAAGTCGCAGTGTAAGTCAGCAAACAGTCCTTGCAGAGTCCTAGGTGGAATCTGAAAGGGAAGGATAATTCTTGAAAAGTAAAGACTGGTCCTAAAGGCAAAGTTAGTTTTCTGGAGTTGAATCATATTGTTAGAAGATTGGTAGAGTTGAATGTGAGACCTTCCTCCCCAATAAAGATATATTTACCCACACAGGCCGAGAGGACAAAGAGACTTCCTGACAACTTTTTAATTTATTTCTCACCTCTATGAACCTCTCTTCACTGCCAGGTCCTAAAAATAAAATGTTGTAGCTTCTGGATGACTGCTGGCCTCATCCTTTGAGTTTCTATGAGCAAAACAGACCTTCAACATTTTCATAACCCTGTATGTTCAAGAGTACATGCTTTGGAAGAAATGCTGCATCACCCAATGTAAGACCAAAATGTGGCTATTATCCCTGCCAGGGCCAACCAGCCAGCCAACTCCAAAATCATCCTGGTGTTGCCTTACTCAATATCTTCACCTTGTAATAATTACAAATATTTTGCCTTTTTTTTTTTTTTTTTTTTTTTTGAGATGGAGTCTCACTCTGTCACCCTGGCTGGAGTACAATGGCGCGATCTCATTTCACTGCAACCTCTGCGTCCCTGGTTCAAGCGATTCTCCTGCCTCAGCCTCCTGAGTAGCTGGGATTACAGGCATGCACCACCACGTCTGGCTAATTTTTGTATTTTTTAGTAGAGACGGGGTTTCATCATGTTGGTCAGGCTGGTCTTAAACTCCTGACCTCGTGATCTGCCTGCCTCGGTCCCCCAAAGTGCTGGGATTACAGGTGTGAGCCACTGTGCCAGGCACCTTGCTCTTAGTAAATTAACAAAATTAATGAAAGAAAATTCTGATATTAATTCAGTAGCCACTCATGCTAAGGACAGAGTTGGGCATCATCTAGACACAAATAGTTTTCATCACTGATTCTCTCAACAACCTTGCAAGATAAGAATTATTGTCTCTTTTTTATAGAAGAATATACTCAGACTTTCAAAGATGAAGTACTTTGCACAGGGATAACCAGCTAGCAATAGTGGAATGGGAATGAGAATTTAAGTGTATAGTGGGGGTTGATTGGCTGTGATTCTAGACCACTTGAGAGTCCATTTCTTCTATAGTTTTCTTTGATATATTGAGCAAGAGTGAAAAAAAATTTGAATTCCAATCAATATCTGTGTGCAGATGTTTTTACTTCATGGCCTAATTTTTTGCTAACTACAAGGCAGGTATGGCAGGGATACTAGGACAGACATCTGGCACAACTGTTCCACTGGCATTGATATAGTTTTTATTGGATTAATTTTACCTGTGAAATTCTGTCTTTCATCTCTGAATGCCCAAGCACATCCCCTCAAGCACTGAAGGAATTTGAATTATGCAAGGGAATGTAAGAAGTTCAAAGAGGGACCCATTTTTATCTGGGCAAAGTTTTTATTTAAGTTAATTTAATTAAAAGTGTACTTTTTTTTCTAGAGGGCTTTAGCCCTAATTCACATTGAGGTATCTTCTATTTTTGGCACTGCGATTATCAACATTGTGTCATCCAGGATATTTGGCATCTCATCTTTAATCTTTCTACCTATTTGTGAAATGTTGATGTACTGCCTTCTTAAGTTGCTCATTGGAATCAACTAGTAATTTCCTAAAACACAGATTCTATGGCCCTATCTCAGGTATAATAAACCAGAATCTCTAAAACCGAGAGCTGAAATGTAAATTTTAATGTTTCAGGAGAATCTTCTGGCATTTGGAATTTAGAGAACACATTTGAATACATTCTGTTATTTACTCTTTCCAACAAACCTTTGCAGAAAGAAGCACTATAAAAATTTTAGAACATTGAGGTCAAAATATAGAAAGTTAAGCTAAATTTTAGAAAGTTGAGGCAAATTTTCCATGGGAAGCCAGATAGGATTAAACCTCAGATCAACAACCCACGAACACAATACCTTTTCCATTCTTTCTTTTGTCAATTCAATGACTTGTATGGAAAGACCACATAGTAGAGAATCATGGTGCTAGACAGGATTTATCTAGGGGTATAGTGGGGGTAGAATGGTTGGGCTTCCTGGAAGGCTTTGTTGAGAATTGTTGTGAAGCAGCATTTGAGTTGAGATAGAATGTAATGTTTTGTGCACATGGAATCATTGCATGATGGCTCACATGCTTAGTGTTGGCCAATTGTAATATACCCCTTTAGATTCCCAAGTTCTTCTATTTTTTAAATCTGTTTTTGTTTTTTCTTCCTTCCATGTTATTGAAGTCTACTATTTCAAGCTGATTCTCCAACAAACTTTCAACAATTCCAAGCTGACATTCTTTCATAGTAATTTCATAGGTCAAACAAAGTCTATATCTACATCTGGCATCTTTACTGATACTGAAGTAAACCAGACCCATATGTAGTTTGGCTCCCCTAAAAAATTATGGTTTTTTTTGTTTTTTGTTTTTTTTTTGAGACGGAGTCTCGCTCTGTCCCCCAGGCTGGAGTGCAGTGGCGCTATCTTGGCTCACTGCAAGCTCCGCCTTCCGGGTTCATGCCATTCTCCTGCCTCAGCTTCCGGAGTAATTGGGACTACAGGTGCCCACCACCTCGCCCGGCTAATTTTTTGTATTTTTAGTAGAGGCGGGGTTTCACCGTGTTAGCCAGGATGGTCTCGATCTGCTGACCTCGTGATCCGCCCGTCTCAGCCTCCCAAAGTGCTGGGATTACAGGCGTGAGCCACTGCGCCCGGCCAACATTGATCTTAAAGAGTTAAACAATCTTCCTTTCTTGCACAAACAATGTAGAAACTTCTCACAAATTTTGTATAGAAATGTGAAAATTATTTTTATAGAAATGTGGCAATTCCAAATTTTCCCCCTTCAATGGTGTATTTTTTGAAATATTCCTTCAATACACAGTCTTCATCATCGAACAAAATTTAACCTGATTCTTTGTATTTTTACTAAGTATTTAGAAGTGAATGCATCTAGATTATATTGACATAGAGAAATATGCACACATATGCAAATATACACTCACACACATGGATCTAAAACTAGTAATAGCACATTTCCTCTTAGCCCTACTTTTTGCCTTTGTGAAATAGCTGGATGTCATATGGAATGTAAATGTCTTAAGTAGATAAATACGTGCTTTCAACTAGAGGCTCTGACCCTAACTCTAGCAGTTTGCCCTTGTGAATTAATCATAAATATGTAGACATGCACACATACAAATTTATCACCATAATCCTGTGGGGTAAATAGATTATATAGTCTAAATGAAAAAAAAAACATTCAAGGAGGATTAAGTAATATGTTAAAGGTTACATAACTAATAAATATCAGATATGGTTGAAATTCAAACGCAAATTCTTTCATAGCACAAAGTATATGCTTTTTCTACTCTACAATCATATAAACCCATGAATGTTGTATTTAAAGTCAAGGAGAGATTAAGAAAGCCAAAGGACTTCTTTACGAGTGGGATGATTTTAGAATTCTGTGAGCTCTCATTTTTTAGCAACCCTTGAAGCACAGTCCACTTTGTATACACCAATGTCCTCAAAGAAATGAAATTTTCTGAGCATCCTGCCATAACCATGTGCCATTTTGTAACTGTAAAATCAGTTATCTAAAAACAAACAAAAAGATAGAAGGAAAGGAAAAGAAAGAAAAAAAATGTGTTGTGCAAAACTGAGGACAATCTTTAGAGTGAGAATTAATGGGTTAGAGTATATAAAAGTATTTGATTTGGGCTTTCTAGGACATTTTATTCATTCAGTGTATTTTGCACACTAGATGTGATTACTTGTAATATCTCATTTAATCCTATTAATAATTTCAACAAATAAAAAAGAAAAATTAAGAAATGGGGGAAAAGAGGAAGGGGAAGAAGCAAGATAATATGTATTTTTTTCTTATATTATCCACCTTGAGTTAGCAAAACTAAGATAACTCAAATGTGGTTTCAAATAGATGACTTACATGAGAAAATTTACAGTATATTTCACCCATAGCTTTGCAAAAGGAAATTTAACGGTCTGTTAGGCAACCTCAGAAACACTGGCATTCCAAGTAGATATAATTGGCCTGTGCTTAAAAGCAACAGTAAATGACAAACACATGAGAAACAAGAAGTACTGCTGAGTGACCTTGGAGAGGATTGCCTTCAGCATGAGGCTGGGGACATTCACGTCATTATCAGGGAGTGGGAGCACCTGCCTGTTAGAATAATCAGATTTTGGAGGACATTTTCACAGGGGGCAATTCCTGGGTGCCAATCTCTCACTCACGCATTATGGCACCAGGTGCTTTTGATTATGTTAGAACAAGTGAGATCTACCTGGAGGCACATCAGGACTCCAGCTGGAGGTATTAAAATTCTTGACAAGGTAAAGCGGTGTATTAAGAGCTTTGCCACTTAGAAGCCTCCTATTAACAGAGAATCCACAACTATTCCTATCCCCTCTTACTTCATCTGAGACGTTAAATAACACTGCTCTGATCAGTTTGGGGGCAAAGTCATTAATTTTATGTTTGAAATGGTGTGGTGGGGGGGTGACAAATTGTCTTAGCTTTTGAGGCATCAAATGAATTTCAAAGAACCCTGAAAGAAAAAGTTCACATTTTCTCTTTTAAGGTTTAAGATGTTTATGAGAAAAATGACTGATTGACTGGCATTGTTCAATGACTGTTACAATTATAGGAACTCTTCCATGTGTCATGGTCTTGAATCAATCAAAGTAATCAAGAAATGTTTTAAAAGTCCCCATGACAGTAACAAGTCAAAAGGTAACCCTTGATAATACAATGGACAAAAAACATAATTCACACAAATGGTATACAATCAGACTGATAAGACCTCATACTAATCCAACTTTAGCCAAAGCTAGATGCCCTAATACTAATACTACTAAGAATGTAATAATATAATCCGTAAGGGGTCCCTTTGTTAAGCCATTTTGCTAAATGCTTTGCATGCTTTAGATAATTCAGTAATGCACATGTTCATAGCATCTACCTTAGCACCATTTGCTTAAATGATGAAATTGCGGTTTAGAGAGATTACTTAATTTTGCTATAATCACACAGTTAGTGAAAGGTAAGACTGACAAGAGAATCAAGTTTCATTTGGCAGATTGCAGACTCTGCTTTCTTAAATATCAGTTTATCATTTAGTAACTCTTTGTAAAGGGATATCATATTTCCTCCAAACACAATGTTACATGTGTTATTTCTAATTTATTTGGTTGTAGGGAATATTGCCATTGCTTTATACCATGGCCTCCTTTCTTTAAGATATATGTGAAATTTTATTTTAAATGACTAAAGTTTGAGAAGTTCCATGACATGCCTTAATCTGTTTCTTCATTTGGCTCAAATAAAATTTGGAATTTCAACTTAGAAATTAGAGGAATGATTAGAAATTATAAAAGAGAGGTTTTTTTTCTTTTAAAATATAATTGCTAGTTTTTCAAAGTGAATATACTTATCCCAGTTAGAGATGAACCTGCTAGATATTAACTCAAGATAGATTAAAAACTTAAATGTAAAATGCAAAACTATAAAAACCCTGGAAAACAACCTAGGCAATACCATTCTGGACATAGGAACAGGAAAAGATTTCATGGTGAAGATGCCGAAAGCAATTTATACAAAAGCAAAAATTGACAAATGGTATCTAAGCTTCTGCACAGCAAAAGAAACTAATGACCGGGTAAACAGACAACCTACAGAATAACAGAAAAATTTTGAAAACTATGCATCTGACAAAGGTATAAGATCCAGCATCTATAAGGAACTTAAACAAATGTATGAAAAAAAAACATTAAAAAGTGGGCAAAGTAAATAAACAAGCACTTTTGAAAAGAATACATACATGCAGCCAATAAGAATATGAAAAAAAAGCTCGACATCACTGATCATTAGAGAAATGCAAATCAAAACCACAATGAAATACCACCTCACACGAGTCAGAAGAGCTATTATTAAAAAGTCAAGGCCGGGCGCGGTGGCTCACGTCTGTGATCCTGGCACTTTAGGAGGCTGAGGCGGGTGGATCACGAGGTCAGGAGTTTGAGACCAGCCTGGCCAACATAGTGAAACCCTGTCTCTACTGAAAATACAAAAAAATAGCTGGGTGTAGTGGCAGGCACCTGTAATCCCAGCTACTTGGGAGGCTAAGGCAGGAGAATCACTTAAACCCAGGAGGCGGAGGTTGCAGTGAGAAAAAAAAAAAAGTCAAAAAATGACATGCCAGCGAGGTTGCAGAGAGAAGCAAACACTTATACACTATTGGTGGGAATGTAAATTAGTTCAACTATTGTGGAAGACAGTATGGCAATTCCTCAAGAGCTAAAAACAGAAATAACATTCAACCCAGCAATCCCATTACTGAGTATATACCCAAAGGAATATAAATTGTTCTAACATAAAGACACATGAATGCATTATGTTCATTGCAGCAGTATTCACATTAGCAAGGACATGGAATAAACTTAAATGTCCATCAAGGGTAGACTGGATAAAGAAAATGTGGTACATATAAACCACAGAATACTATTCAGCCATAAAAAAGAATGAGATCATGTCTTTTACATGACCATAGATTGAAGTGGAGGTCATTATCCTTAGCAAACTAATGGAGGAACAGAAACAAAATACTGCGTGTTCTCCCTTATAAGTGGGAGCTAAATGAGGAGAACACATGGACACATAGAAGGGAACAATAGACACTGAGGCCTATCACAGGGTAGAGGCTGGAAAGAGGGAGAGGTTCAGGAAAAATAACTAATGGGTAATAGACTTAGTACCTGGGTGACAAAATAATCTGTACAACATACCCCCATGACACAAATTTACCTTGGTAACAAACCTGCACATGTAACCTGGAACTTAAAAAATAAATAAAACATACCTGCTAGTTTTTCAAAGTTAATATACTTATCCCAGTTACAGATGAGACAGCCTAGATATTCCTGATTTCAATGTTTCCCCCATAACCACTCTGTACTTAAAGGCAAAAGTGGGATCTAGAGATCACATGTTGGTTTTTAATAACTGATTCAAATTGTAATTTAGGAGCTGGAAAAGGAGAGGAAAGGGTTTTCTACCACACATTTAAAACCACAAACTACTACTTTACATATTTCAGGTAATTTGGGAATGAGGCTATAGATATATTAAACGTTCACCATTTTACAAGCAATTCCTATACACTAAAACACTAGGGAAACTCAATAATTGCTGAACGGAATGAGAAGTATGTTTCCAATTTAGAAGAACAGAAAAACTACTGCAGAGAAGCAGTGTAAAATAATATAAGGAAACCATCACAGGGCTATATACCGGCATCAACAAAAACCAACCTCAGCTCCCCCTAGGCCATACATCACTTCAGTCGGCAGACATTGCTGGGAATTCCCAGTTCTGATGGAGAATGCAATGAGGCTGCATTGCTGAGTGATTGCCTCTCTACACAGACACTTTTAAACTGTTGTCCAGGGCCACGTGTCAGAAAGGGGCTGATCAGGGGAGAAATCTATTGTTCATTTGACTGTAACTTCAGATTCCTGTTAGTAAAAGGGAAAACATTTTCTCTTTTTTTTGGTGATAGATGTTAGGAAGATTTTAAAATGTAAATGAGGTTATAACGTAAATATCCTAATTTTCTTTAAAGCACAGTGGAACTGCCAATGAAGAAAAGTCAGCCAGAAATATCATAAAGCTAATTAAAATTATGTCAAGCGATAAACTAATTAGGACACCAGTGTACAGAGAGATGTCATTGTGACATTTTAGGAAAAAAAAAAAAGAAAGAAAGCATTGAAATGATTTTTAAAAGTTAAATGAAATAGAGAATTTTATACAACAGCAGGAAAGCAAATTAATTACTGCTTCACTCAACAATGACAGAAAGCACAATAAAAATACCATCATCGAGAGATGTGTTTAAAGATGAAAAAAAACTTGTTATTTAGCCGGCAGTTGCTTGCTTTATCCTCTGCCAAAGTGGCTCGTTACCCTCTCTGAGTACCTGAAGGAGTCATTTAAAGTCCCAGGCATATGTAAGATGAGAAAGCCCCACCAAAGCAAGTGAAATCTCGAGGGTGGGTGTACCTTTAAAGGTCTGAGTCCTTAAAATTATGAAATTCATTTGCATGAGGTACTGACAAGCTTCACTATAAGGAAGGAAAACACAAGAAACATTACAGCTCTTCAATTTCTGAAATCCATTTCTGTACATGAGCTACTGGTCATGTCTTTGCAAATTTCTTGAGCAGCATCCCCATAAAACAACAAAATTGGGCACTGTCAGCAGAAAAGAAGCATTTTGAATACATCAGTCAGAAAACAAGCACATTTGAAAACCAGACTTAAGGAAAGGTCAAATGGAGGCTCTAGATAAACACTCAAAGCTCTCATGTGAATGCCCATATCTATCTATTCGGAAACAGATATACTGCTGACTACCACAGTCTTGCATTTCACATGATTCCTCCTCATTTCATCTCCCATAGCAAAATTTAATTAAATATTTCTATGTCTGGCTTTTTGATATGCTTTTGAAACTTTCAGAATAATTCCCTTAAGCCTTGAGTACTCCCGAAAAAAATATATTTATGCATACAAAGAACTCTGCTAGAAGTCACTATGGTTAATTACAGTAAAACAATCTTTGTGATTCGTATTGTGTATAAAGTTAATTGTCTCATTAACCTTAGCTATTGTAATCTAGGTCCATTATAAATGAGAATCAAAAGACAGGCCAGAAATTTTTAAAAAAGTAATGACATCAAAATAGCGTCTATTCCTCTACTGTGATCTTTAAGATGTAAAAGTATGTCTCTTCAGGTTAATAACTAATGAGTGATGTAATGTCATAATGATAGATTGATAGAGAACTGGTCTTACTGGGTTAATGTCACCTTAGGATATCTTAGCACATCTCAGATTCACTATATTTATTTCTCTTTATCATTTCTACCTCTCAGCAACAGAAAATTAAATAAGTACTTTAAATGGAAGAAACAAGTCCCTTTAATATGAGATCTTGAAGGTAGAGGTCTCTATAGGTATAATAATGGAGAACTACTGGAAATTTCTGGTAGCCTCTGGTAGCTTCCAGGCTAGGTCCCGGAAGAAAGTAAAGCATTCTGACTTGGGGGCTGAAACACGCAATAAAGTGACAGGCTTTGACCAGCATTAAGGAGGCAGCATTATGTGGGAGCAAAAGTTCATTCATTCTTCCACCAGAAGCTGAAAATCTGAAATCTCAGAGCTTGAAGACAATTGAAGAACCAAATGATTAACTAGCTATTGAAGATACCTGGAAGTAGATTAAGGTTAATTTGTGATATTGCTAACTAAATGTCTTTCTGTATTTGTCTCAGTTGTGCTTTATTGGCCCAGATAATACGTGTCAATGTACAATATTAAAATGACAAGAGCCACCATTAATTGAATGCCTACTAAGTAAGCATCAATTGAATATTTATTTTTACTTGGTAAGTACTTCATTTACTTTTATATTCCTATTCAATCTTCAGAGAATCCTATTAGGTAATTGATTTCCCTCATTTTACAGAAGACACAGAGACTGAAGTGCCCAATCTGGCTTGGTCTCTTCTCATGCAAGAAAATGTACTGGCCATCTGTATCACTCAGAGTGCCTGGAAAGAGAAAACAGACTCTAACATGCCAACCATGCGTGAAACTTTCTTAGCCTTGCAAACTAGTAACGTGTGACTTGGCACACAATTAGCACACTGATCTCTGCCCAGTAAAATGGGTACAGGATTGTCTTAGGAAAGGACATGTGTACAGGGAGAATTTAGAAGATGTGATAAAGAAACCAAAACCCAGAAAGATTCCTTTTTCTGAAGAGACAGAATAGGACACTGGATATACTTTGTTTAGGTTTTCAGTTTATTTTCATTTAATTTGGTGGATCTTTGGTCATAGGCTCTTTCTAATGAAAATAGTACAAGAGAGCTCAGTGTAAGAAGATTTTACTGGCTGGGCGCCGTGGCTCATGCCTGTAATCCCAGCACTTTGGGAGGCCGAAGCAGGAAGATCACAAGGTCAGGAGATCAAGACCACCCTGGCCAACATGGTGAAACCCCATCTCTACTAAAAATACAAAATCACAAAAATAAATTTTAAAAATATTAGCCAGGCATGGCCGCGGGCGCTTGTGGTCCCAGCTACTCGGGAGGCTGAGGCAGGAGAATTGCTTGAACCCAGGAGGTGGAGGCTGCAGTGAGCCGAGAAAGCGCCACTGCACTCCATCCTGGGCAACAAAGCAAAGACACTGTCTCAAAAAAAAAAAAAAAAAAAAGATTATACTAATCTTATATAAAAACATTCTATTTTTTTTTTTTTTTTGACGGAGTCTTGCTCTGTTGCCCAGACTGGAGTGCAGCTGTGTGATCTTGGCTCACTGCAACCTCCACATCTCTGGTTCAAGCGATTCTCCTGCCTCGGCCTCCAGAGTAGCTGGGATTACAGGCATCCATCACCATGCCTGGCTAATTTTTGTGTTTTTTGTGGAGTCGGGATTTTGCCATGTTGGCCAAGGTGGTCTAGAACTCCTGACCTCAGATGATCCGCCTGTCTTGGCTTCCCAAAGTGCTGGGATTACAGGCATCAGCTACCGTGCCCTAGAATATATTCTTATAAAGGGAATTCTATATACTTTACACAGCAACATCGAAAATTTTTTGAAAGCCTTAATTGAAAACCACAATCATTTCATAGTTAAAACAGAATTTTTCTAGTATTATTTTTTAATAACCAGACTCTCCACTATTTTCCTAGAAAAAGCAAGAGAATGTATATAATTAATCTGGGCTGGTTACATCATTTTTAGAAAAAAAAAAATGAAAAGCCTAACAGAATGAAGCCTCTAGCAATAGGGGGAGATTCTAAAGGGCCACTGAGGTTTTTTCTCCCCTTTAAGCTTATTTCAGTGTGGCGGGTGGGAAGGGTGGCTACTGAACCATCTAGAATAAAGGTAATTGGTGAACAAGAGCCCAATTACTGTGGAGAGTGATTCTAAAACATGGCAGTGACTCCTTGGCATATAAAAGAAGTCACAAAAACTCTGCTGTTGTTTCTCTGTTATCTTCTGATTCTCTCATTCCTCTTCTCAGGTCTGGGCCACTCTTTAGTCTCATTTTCACTCACTCTCATCACTCTCTTTGTATTTTGCTAACTTTCTTTGTTCTTACTATCTTTACCTGCTTAGATTATGAAATTCACTGCATATCTTAGATACGCTTGTGAATGTTGACCACTTAGAGGACTCAATCTAGAAAATACAACCATAAAATATATTGATTGTCTAAAGGGCTCACACATGGCTCATCAGATATGCTTTCTGAGAGTGCCCCAGAATTCTTGATTGCTTTCAGGAGCCAGGACCGTGGCCTTGCAGACACCAAACATTTTCTAGAAGTCCAATATCTGCCCTTTCCAACCATGTGCTTTTGGTTGGTTGTTCTTTGAAATTAATCATTTAAAAATTTAACAACAAAAAGCAATCTTAGAATGCTGTAGTTTCGTTTCTTACTAATTAAAAAAAAAATGCTCCTTTTCTATCCCTTTCCCCAATATCAGGGTGTTTTTTTTTATTGCAACTTAAAGAAACCTATTGAAAATAGCTTATAGTAAAAGAATAGTGATTGAAGGATGCAAAAATTCAGTCCTTCAGACATCCTAAACAAAGAAACAAACAGAAAGGAAAATACACATCCTGGAGGTTGAAACTTAAATATAAAATTTAACAGTTGCAGCATTTTCCCAGTGCTCAGTTATAAAGACTACATACTCCGTTTTTTTTTGCTTGTGTGTGTGGGTGTATACGTTCATTCTCTGTGTGTGAAGGTCTGATCCCAGAATAAAAATTTAATCTGCTTATGAATAGTTTCTTCTCCAACATTGCCTTAGCAAACTAATGCAGGGACAGGAAACCAAAGTGAGTTCTCAAGGCCCTAAATCTTATCCCATCTCAATAGATAACACTGCCTAAATACAGACACTAGTTCTCTTATTTTAACTTTTAAGTGAAAATCAATTAATATTTAGACTATAAGGTTCACAGGTGCCTATCTCTGAGCCAATCAGTGCTTGCCAGTGAAGCAAGATGTAAAAACATGTCAGGCCTACCATTTTAGCAATTGCTATGGGCATGGTTACATATCAGCGAAGTACAAAAGGGATAAGGCAGGCACTCAGTTTCATGTCTATGCTATGCTGTTGCATTGCATTCATGCAGTCATGCAATCAATAAGGATGTATACAGAATACTACAGACCCTATAGAATCCTCTGGAGGTTTAGAATTACTCACTGTACATTTATTTAAGTTATTCTAAATTTTCTCCCACTGTAAAGAGGTTTTCATGTAGCAGTGCTGAAAAGTTATTAAGTAAACCAATAACATACAAACGTATCTCATTATTAACTGCAAGGCATCCAAAATAATATGTGTGAATAGATGGAAAGAGAAAATGTATTTTTAAAAAGAATAAATGGGGAAACAAGCATATTAGATATGAAAGCATATTATAAATATATCATATATACTTAAAATGTGCAATGATACTCAAGTGAATTGGGTTATTAATATCATTTTCATCAAAAATAGAAATAATATAATTAAATGTTAATTAAATATTAATATTACTCAAATTACCAAAGAGATTGTAAGTAGGTCAAGAAAATAGTTTTAATAAAGAGATTATATCAATAATTATTTATTACACATCACTTAATTCACTTAAAATATAAATATATGGTTGATGACTTGTTGCTTCCAGTTTTTGATGGTTTGATGAAAATGCACGCTGGAAAGCACTTATTGGAATGAATTTTATAGACTATATTTAAAAGCTCATATGTATGTGAATTTAGTGATTTAGTAGATTTCAAAACGTATTGATTTTAATTTGGAAAACATTATGAGGAAAATGCTTAAAGGTCTGTAAAACTTCTGTAATATTTAGTCAAAAATACTTAATAGTAAATATATATTTGCCTTGCAAAATTAATTAAATACACACACACACACACACACACACACACACAGTTACTTTGAAGCATGCAACAGATTCTCTATTGCATTAACTGAAATTGAGTAGAAAATATATTTTATACCAGAATTCTATTAAAAATCCTTCATCGCAAATTTATTTGAAGCCTATCCTTCTAAGTAATCAACATGACAATTATTTTGGGAATCTAGATTTTTTTGGTAATTATCTTTAGAAAGACTGACACTTAAAACAAATGGATAGTATCAGTTATATAAACGCTTATAGCATATTATTATACTTTAAATTTTTATTTGTCGCAGTTTTGTACAACCCGGTTGCTTATAATTTGCTGTAATTGTTCCTCAAATAGAGCATTAAGTTTTATGGCTTCATATTTTCCTTGACTAAAAGGCTTTATTACCATAACAATGCATAGAAAGTGGAAATACTGATACCCATAACCTCTAAGTAATGTTTACTTATTATTTAATGTGGGGATAGGAAGCTTAGTTCTAAGTAAATCAGAAAGTTCCAAAGCATTTTTTTTCCTGCTAACATATTATGTCTGTCTTAATAATCTTAGGACTTTTAACAAACAGAGACATTCTATTTTATGCACTTTTGTGTGTAACAAGGCAGGTGTCTCTGTTAATGTCCAAAATAAGAAAAACAGTGTTCTAAATTAAACTTCAGTTTCTTGTTTTTCTACAGACCAATGTCCTTTGCGGGAGCATAGAAATTTACAGCCAAGACAAGATCTATTAGGATCAAGACATAAAAGGAAAAAAATGACTTTTAGCGCAAAGGGAAATAACCTTTTACAATATTAATAAGGGCTCTCTATACTTACTATATATCTTTGACCTGTAATGTCAGAAATATAGATTACACCCTTAAATCATGCACTTCTATCTTCATACCAAATTTGCACCATTCGGCTTTATCACAAATGTGTCCAGATTTTTACAACATCTGGCACATTTATAGCAATTAGTTCTGGGCAGGCTGTAGTGCCGCCAGTCTCAACTGCACAGTCCAAGTACAAACACAAATTATGATTAGTAATGATTTATTCAATGATGAAGTCATCCATCTTAGTCTGCTAAAGCTTAAAATTATACGAGTCAACAGTTGTGATTTGTGCTACAGTTTTCTTTGATAACATCAAGTTCGTTCCAAATGTTAAACTAAATGGATACAAAAAATAAAAAAAAAACAGCTGAAATAAATACTGTGCTGCAGAAAAACATTCTTAGAAAGGCATTTCTCTATACTCATGGGATAAAATGATGAAATTGTGCCAATCATACCAATCTTTTTCAAAGCAGAAGAGTAAAGTACGGTGTTTGGAACACTGAGAGATCTTGTAAATTTTAATTAATTCAGTTTTATCACCAGTTGGCTAAAAGCCTTCTGTCATTTATAAAAAGTGTTACCTGTGAAAATCTCATAAAATATTTGGCTTATGATTAACAGTGGTGATTTTTGAAAGAGCTAAACTATGATGCATAATTTTTCTCTATCCTCTATATGTTGAAATTTCTTTCCCCTTTCTATAGCCTACCTATGGTCTATTCATGTTTCAAGTTCTGCCAGATGCCTTCCTTAGTAACTTGCTTGGAGAATTTTGCGCTGATTATAGAGTGTGGAATTGATTGCATTCATCTTAGTCTAACTATTTACTATTTCACTCATTGATGACATTGTAATAGTATTCATTAAGAGTCCATATCCTGTGTATTACATATGCCTCACAGTGCTGAGTATAGTACTAAGCACACCATAGGTACTTTAAAAAAATGTTTGCTGCTCTGTACTAAAAAGTACATGGGTGCTATGGTTCATGTAGACATATCTTCAGAAGAGTAAGTCTCTGCTGATGATACAACACTAATAAAATATGCAGTAAGATCTCAGTCTTAAGAAACTGTGCAGATGTACAGCTGTCCAACAAAGATCTGTGCTCCTCTTTCATCTTGAATCTAGGCAGGGACATGAGACCAGTTATCACCAATATAGTAGATGTGACTTCACTAATCAGCAACACCCACTTTGACTTTGAGTTAGAAATCATCTTGGCTTGTGTTAAGCCACTGAAATTTGGAAGTTTCTCTGAGTAACTGTTATAGATGAGACTAAATAGGGGGCATCATTATTGTTTTCTCTTTAAATTGGATTGTCTTTATTATTTGTATAGCCCAAAATAGTCTCTCATTATTTTATATTCAGAAAATAAGCAAACAATTAAACAAGAGAAGGACTGGTAATAGACTAATCTAATATTTTGGAAATCTGATCTTCATTTATTCTTCCAGTAATCATTAGCTCCACTTAATCTGTAAAAAACATATTGTACAAGAATCTGGAGTGGTACAAAGAAGTAACCAAAATATAATGTATCCCTGCCTTCAAGAAGTATACACTCTCCCACAAAATAAAAGGATTTTGCAATTCTGCTGGCAACTACTCTGTGGAGTTAGTTTTCCAAACTTACCACTTACTAACTTTATAACTTTGTCTAGTGTTTATGCCTTAATTTTCTCATCTTTAAGATGGGAATAGTAGGAGTTGCTACCTCAACAGGTTGAAGTCATAATTGTGTATGTTTGAAATGTTTAGAATAGTGCTTAAGATACAAGGTACACTATGGCCCTGTGTGTTCTGTGCTAATATATATGTTTAAAATTTTCTAGATAAGTAATTTAGGTCTATTGGAATTGAATAATATAGAGTGTGGAATTGATTGAATAGTAATTGTTATTAGATAGAAGACTCCAGATTGAAACTCAGTTTTTCTGATACTAAATCTTTTTTTGATGCAACTCTAACGCTTGGTTGGGGAAAATCAAACATATTTAAAACAGTGAACTCTTAAATGATCCAGGTAATTAAACCAATTTTTTTAGAACATTTATCTGGATACTTGTGACCATTTTTTGTTTTATTCCACTTATACAGATGTGATCACAAACTACTCTTGTAATGATTTATAAAAGAAGTTATTCTCTCTCTTTGGGCACTAATTTTTTTTAAAATTAATATCAGATTATTCTGCTTGCAGAGGAGTAGGATTTTTTTGGGTTGCTATTTCTTTGAGCTCAATCTGTATGAGGCTAAGAAAGAAATACATTAATAGATGAATCAGTTTCCTTATGTTAAAAAGGCAAAAAAAATGGAGGGATTTTTCTTTCAGCCTGAATTGATCTACTAACCACATGGACCACATATGATTGACAAGTCTAACTTCCTGACAACTACATAAAGATGACAGGTAATTGAGTCACTATAAACTTCAGCTGCCCAGAACTGCTACCCCAACCAATTCCGACACAAAGGAAAATCTCCCTCTTTGTTAGTCTCCTTTTCAGATAATACTTTCAGCCATTTCCAGATGCCAAAACATGGTTGTCAGTCCTTCTTTTTTCCTTCCTCTAAAAAAATGAATCTCATAATGCTTCTCAAATGGGAAACATGCCTACACTCCCAATCTGGCATGCCTTAATTCAAATCTTTATTGGTTCTCACTAATATTACTTTCTTCTCCATTCAGTTATCAAAAACCCATCCCCTATACTAACTACTGAGGAATATTAGTAAATTTAAATTGTGGTCACAAAAATGTGCTGCTAATTTCTAATGAGAGCTTTCCCCCAATTAGGTCATTAGCTCCTATATTTCAGGCCCTGTTACTTAACTATCTTTGATGCTCCTGTGTGAAGAATAGTGCTGGTACGAAGTCGTTCCTGTAAATAAAGAGTCTCATCAAAGGGAAGTCTGTAATTTTTTTTTTCAGAATTTGACTTCTTTACCTTTAATCCTGTACTATACTAGGCAAATCTATTAAAGAATTTATTACCCCCTAACTAGAGTTTAGCCCCTCTTGCAAGCTCTGCCATTGGCTTTAGTTGACTAGAATCTATATAGGTGATTTTCTGGCAAAACAGAACTTGACTGTTTTTAAGGTCATATTGCTGCCTATGCCTTTCTGTTTATCTCTTTTTATAGTTCACTTGGCTTTTGACAAACAGCATTGCTTTCTAATCTAACAGCTTCTATTATTTACTTTGTTTTGTTCTCAACTTGTCTTAAGCTATTTCTAGAGTCCTTATGTTCGGATTTTTCCTTATTTCTGGCCTTTGGGAAGTCCCTATCTATATCTTTACTTCTTAGACTCTCTCAATCCTCAGTTGCAATATTGCCCCCATTATTACCTGTTATTCACTAACGTTATCTCTAGATTTTGTCATGATAGTGTACGACTTGGGAAGAGACCACATACTTAGTGTCACCTGGCACTATGATCTAGCAATAATAGCAGACCCATATCTTGGGAAGGCCAGGTGGAATTTTAAAAGTTAACAGCAGCCAGTAACTGTTCCAGGAGTTGCCAGTCCTAAGAATAATGGAGTAGTCAAGGCAATGGTGCTAAGTAGAAACTGAAGCAATTGAAATTGGAATTATTGAGAACTGAGTCTCTCACTAATGTTGGGAAAGCTCAGGATTATAAACCAATTTAAAAGACTTACATTCAAGAGCCAGATTTGAAAGACAGCATTCATGGCCAAATTCAAGGTCTTAGACATGAGGAACTAAGAATTCCTTGTTAATTTAGTATAGAAGAGTCACCACAGATTCTGTGATACAGAAGGAAACTAAAAAGCTTTCTTTCTTTTCCTTTGTCTATCCCAGTATCTTGTAAGTAATTACCAAGCAGGAAAAACAGAATTCTTATTTAAGGGGACAAGTAGACTTGGAACTGGAAAGTCCAGTATGTAAAATGGAGCTGCAACGATAGTTCAGTTCAGTCAATAGGAACCACAAATATCTCTAGAGAAGCATTCTCCTCTGCAGGAATATTCCAGGTAGATAGCTAGATAGAGATAATTTGTCCTTCCATGTTTTAGAAGATCTCCACCATCAATAGCATCTTACTGCTAACTTCAGTTTGTTGCTACATATGTTTGGCTCTCAGCTATGTGGACAAGGAGGAAAAGAAAGATATTTTATCACAACAGCTAAGCAACCTAGTGTGTTTCTGCTATTTAAAGGGTCTTTTTCCCTTTAGGTGAGGTTCTCTAAGGATTACACATTTTTGCAGGAAGGACACTGGATGCACATCTTTGAATAATCAGCTAGGAGAACATAACGGACCAAATATATTCTTTCCTTTTGTGATTGTTAACTGTTCTCAATGCCTGTTGAAAAAAAAATCCCATTCTTCCTGGTTTTGTACAGCACTGAACATACTGTCAATAAGTCATAAGAATTTCTGCAACTTCCTTCCCTTTCTATTCTTCTGCCATGCATTACATGTCAACATAGTCAGCGAATGAGACAAGTTAGACATATTACATCAGGAGACTAAATTCTCTAGAGTTGATGATATCCTTAGGGGAAGACGCTCGATATTCTGACAGGTGCCTCTCTTAAATTAGACTTTTCCTGTGTGTCACATTTTCAGTAGCCACTCAGGAGCAGAGGAAGTGGGATTAGATTGATTTTTGGACTGCTAGCAATATAAATAACAATTAACTCTCATGTCAGCTTTTAGCAGGCAAGCACAATTGCAGAATGTCTGCATTTCAAGAAAGAATAAAGACATTTTCCTTTGGGCTGAATGATGTAAGAGAGCATATGCCAGAACCAGAAAGATATTTTTACAACCTCACTGAAATCCTCCAACATGATATAAGACAGACCTCTAATTCTTATTGCAGGTCTATTTATGATGGAGAGTTCCAAATTCCTTAGCATGGCTTAAAAGGCACGGCCTGACCCCAAACTGCTTTTGTAGACTCACCTCCAGATAGGGCTCTATAGAAGAAAAAAGGAGTATCTGCTCACCTATGGCAAGTTTCATGGATCACACTCCTATAACAAAAGACAGATTTATAAGAGAAAAGCATGATAGATTTATTTAAGTGAAGATTTATGTGCCATGAGAGACTTCAGAAATGGAGACCCAAAGACCCAAGGAAAACTGGGTATTTTTGTGGCCAGTCATGTAGAATTGTGACTGAGCAAAATGGGGATATGATTTAATAGTGATAAAATGAGAGGCATTTAGCAAGTCCTGTTTCTTCAGATTCTTCTTAGCCTCAGGCTACAGGAAAGAACCCCTCTGGAATAAGGGTCTTCTGATCTACTTTCAGGGGAAATAAGAGAATTCCTTTATGACTATGCTTCAGGGGAGTAAGGTAGGAGAAGGTAGCACTGATCTTCTTGCTTTTGAAGTTTTCTCAGTTGTTAAAGTGCCTTATTTGGTGGCATGTTCGGAGCCCTGAAAGCTCCCATGCCCCATATATTCTAGAAAAAAATAAGTGATCATTTTCTGATATTTCTATATCAAACTCGTATCTTGGGAAGTGGAATTTTAAAAGTTAACAACAGCCAGTAACAATTCCAGGAGTTGCTAGTCTTAATAATTACAGAATATTCAAGGCAATGGTGGGCTGCCCTGGTCTTTATTTCATATTGACTATTCTATCGTTAGACTTAGATTCAGCAGCAAGTGAAAAAATGGCTTAAAAAAGATTGACACTTTTTTTCTTCACGTGTTAAAAAAAAAAGTCTAGATAATAAATTTTAAAAAAGAAAATGAAGAGTCCATAGGACTGATGAGATGGGCCCATGGATATCAAAAGTCTTAGTTTCTTCTCACTCATGGTCATGCTATTGTCAATATATGCTAAATGCCTTCTTGTCTTGTGGATCAATATGGTTGCTTAAGCTCCAACCATGAGAAGTGGAAAGAGAAAAGAAACGCATGTTTATTTTGAAGGCACTTTCCAGAGCTACCTAGATTCCATTGTATCATAACTTACAATGGAATCTTGTTTTACTGAGAAAGTAGCTGAGAATGAATATTTGGGAACAACATGTAGACCCTGTCCCAGCCAGTTGGTGAACTTTTACCAGCTTTTCCTGATCCCTGAAGAAAAAAATTAATCCTGTAACCATGTTCAAATAGAAATATGTTAAAACATTATTTTAACATAATATAGGCTCATTTTAATTAAATCTTAATGACTTATATAAAAAGAACAAGTTGACCCATAAAGAAGATGAATATGTTTTTTGTAAGACATGTTACCTTGCTTTAGGAAATTTCTCTCTCTCTCTCTCACACACACATACACACACACACACACACACACACACAACCTTAAACATAAATATTCTGAAGTTTCCTCCTCTAAAAAAAAGTGAGTAGTAGTTAGTTTCCTGGATTCTTCTTGGTATTTTAGACAGGTTTAAAAGGAGGTAATATCTGAGAAATTCTTTTTCTAAAATGTAGGATGCATTAATAATCTTTCCTAAATGATGATGAAGTGAAGAATGGACACTAGCATACTCCAGGTATCGCAGTTCTCTTAGGATCTAAATGGGAAATGCCATTAAGGGAACTAATTCATTTACAGAACAAGAAGCCACATAGATTATATGGTTTGAAGTTCCCTTCATTTATGCAGCAAATACATTTTCAGCATCTATTATGGGCTGCACACTAATTTGGGTCCTGAGCTACAGCAGATAATAAAACATATAGAAAGCTTGAACTCATGAAGCTCATGATTGAAAGGTGAACACACATTCCAATAATGATGTAATGATGTGCATAGTTATATTTTGAAGGAAAAGTATTATATGAATGTGTATTTCAAGGGTAAGTGTTATATGAATGTGTATTTGAAGGAAAATTAGCATAAGCATGTGTAAAAATGGCAGAGGTAAAATTGTAGGGATATGTAGAAAATGACGACTTCCTGAGGCTGTGAGATTTAAGTAGAAATCTGAAGGCTGAGAAGGTGGTAACTATGCAAGAGGGAACATCGGTAGGACATCAAAGAACAGGAGCAAATTCCAGGCAGAGAAAACAGCATGTGTTAAGACCTTGAAAGGAGAAGGGGGGTGAGGAAATTAAGGATATTGGCATATTCACTTTAATGTTCTTAGCCCTAGTTTATTGGTTTACAAAATAGAAATAATAGGAATTACAATTTTCTCATAGAAAATAAAGTATAAGAAATGATTTGTAAACAACGAAATGCTTCAAAAACAATAATTATTTTGTTTACCTAATATAAATGATAAAGCTCTAGGTGGTTCACTTACTATATGGCTTGCAAACCTCCTGCTTTGCCCCCTAAAAGCAGGGTTAGTATAATACTTTACTTAGACTATACTTAATGGGTTCATCTCTTTGTGATTATTAGAAAGAAAAAAAAATAAATGTTTAAGTTTGGTAGGTAAAAATAATAGAAAGTACCACTCCAAGAAGTATCCATGGATGCCCCATTATTAGGGTCATCTGAGAAGAACCAGACCCCAAACTTTAAATAATCCTGATTATCTTGTTTATTTGAAAATACTGGTGGAAGGATGGGAGGCTTAGGGATTATATTTCCAAACATTACATCATGATCAAATACCTAGTGCCTGTATTTCCAGTTAGTCTCGTGACTTTGTTTGACGCAAGACAATAAGATATTGCTGTGACCTCTTCACAAGAACCATATTTCATTGAAATCCATCTAGTGTGATAGACTTAACACCACTGTAAGGAATACATTGGCCACTACTGAGTACTAACATTGTTGGTAGGCCATAGAAGGACAATATGGTATGCCCCTAAGACCTTTGGCTCTCTGACTGCAATTACCTGATTCTAAATTTAATAGCAATCAGACAGACAGAAATTCCCAACGTGCCACAACATTCAATTCAAAATAAAACTCAGGCTTTCTAAACCCTTTTTAAAATGTGGCATGTTATTCAGAATTAACAATTATAATGAGTGCCTACTATGCAGAAAGTGACCTCTTAGCTGCTTTCACACAGTCTGCCTGATTTAAATATTCCTAACAAGCCCTGTGATGGATCAGATCAAGCATTAGTGTCCCCGTTTTGCAGCTAAGAAAGCATATATTGAGAAATATTAAATAACTTGTATAAATCATATCGCTCAGGAGAAGCAGAGCCAGGATTTTAATTTAAGTTTACCTTGCTCCACATCCAGTGTTTGTTTTCTTATAATAAACTACTCCCTTCTTTGCATGTATCTCCTCATGCCTCCACCCTGCATAAACTCTACACTAAGTTATACAAAGGTTATTGAGAAGATGCAATGGACTTGCCTGTTTTTACTACAATCATCCTCATTAAAGTCATGACCCCTTAGGTCAATGTAGAGAAGAAAAATGGTTTGACTTGCAGAATTACGATTTGCTTTTGACATTCTGATACTGGAAACATATCTCCACACTAAATCTCAGAATGAATGCTTCATAGACTATCTTCAGACCCCTTGTAATTCAAGCCTCACTGTAACCATAATGACCCTCAAATTGTATTAAGCTATTAGACCCCCCAGGCAGTAGTAGAACCAGAAGATTTTTAAAGTCTCCTTTTGGGAAATTATTATTCAAATATTTACCTTCTCAGGAATTCTCAACATCTAAAGATCTATAACATTACCAATTAAGTTGTTCAAATATCACACAGCGGTAACAATTTCAGTCTTCCAGGAACCCAATTTAATGATCTGTCTTCTCTCTGCAGCACATAATGTTGTATATCAAATGTCTGAAGAAAAAAGATTTATGGGCTGGGCGCAGAGGCTCATGCCTGTTATCGCAGTACTTTGGGACGCTGAGGTGGACAGATCACCTGAGGTGAGGAGTTGGAGACCAGCCTGGCCAACATGCGAAACCTCATCTCTACTAAAAATCCAAAAATTAGCTAAGAATGGTGGCATGTGCCTTCCAGCTACTCGGGAAGCTGAGGTGGGAGAATCACTTGATTCAGTGAGGCAGAGGTTACAGTGAGCCGAGATGGCGCCACTGCACTCCAGCCTGGGTGACAGAGCAAGACTCTATCTCAATAAATAAATAAATAAATAAATAAATAAATAAATAAATAAATAAATAAAATAAATAATAAAGATTTACGGATCAGATAGAGCAGGTCCTTGTTATTAATTCAGACTATGTATTTTAAAAAGTGGACAGAAGAGATGTAAGAGATGTAATCTTAAGAAATCTCACAATCTATAGTTCACATAATGTAAGCTGTATCCTAACAAATATAGCTAAAAATTTCTCTTTCCAACAAATATGCCACTGCCCTGTGGAAAGAGTGGTAACGTAATATACCATTCTGATGTCTGTTTGCTTGGAAAATTTTTGTTTAATTTTTTTTGTTTGATCAATTATTTTTATTGTTTTACATTATTCTTCTAAATAGATAATTTATGGACATAGTGCTTTTTCTTCTTCAAGTTCACATAATACAAATTTACATACCATGCAATAATATTCTATCTGTATTTCTCAACAAGGAACAAATACAAGTATGGACAGGATCACGACACTCATTCCACGATATTTAACATCCCTGAATTTCTCCTCTAAATGTCAATGACATCCCCCACACCAGTCATTGTCACAACCCAATCTCTTTGCACATACAGTTTTTTAAACATTCCCTGAGTAAGGGATACTGCTCCCAGTTGAGAGCCACTGAACCAGATGTTGAATAAAACCCCACAACATTTTAAGCAAAGCAACACAAAGATAGTATTTATGGTAAGCGGGGACTGGATAAAGCTCAGATTTTTTTTCTCGTGAGAAGCCAAACTCATTGCACATACACATATATACTCCTGTTGAGTTAGTATAGCAAAAGAGAACGAACAAATGTAAAAGTGTGCTACCTTTCATTAGTTATTTAGTGTTCTAGGCTTCCTATGATTGGCCCAATCCTTTTAAGCATATGAACCAAAGACTTTATGACATAAAAGTCTTCTAACAAGTTGGACAGGCAAGTTTTAATTATTCTGTGAATTGGAGATTTCATATATGTTTTAAATTCTCTCTGTGAATAAAGAGAGGTCAGAGAAGTTAAGGCAAAAGTTAACATGTAACATAATGAGGAAGACTATATAGTAAGGAGCTTATACTAATGCACTAACATTGAACGAGACTGTGAACCTAAGAAATGAGTTGCACAGCCATGAGGAGTGTCAAGGACATAAAATTGGGAAAAGGATAGAAAGTTCCCAAACTGGCATAGCCAAAAAAGAGAATCCAATAGTTAACATAAACTAATTTTCAGAGGTAGGTAGGGTTAGGATAGGGCTACCAGGACAAAGATGATTGGAATATTGGCAGCAAAAATAAAAAAGAGATATGCACCACTGAAAAAGTTATTATTGGAAAGACTAGTGCAGTAATTGGAAGCTTGGACTATGGGAAAATAAACCAAAGATGCTTTCAGGTTAAAACTAGAAGGAAAAAAAATCAAGAGGGCTGGAGGTTCTAAGCAAATGCACAAGCCAATACTGGATTTGAAAATCAGAGCCAGGGTCTTTAACTTGTACATGTGTGCTCTACAGACCAACAGCATCCATATCTCTAGGGGTTTGTTTGAAGTACAGGTCCCAGTCTACAACTGCTAAATTCACACTTTAACAAGATCCTGGGGGTAATTTACCTACACATTAATGTTTAAGAAACACAGAACTAAACAGTCTCTAATAACATTGGACAATCATATTATTCCATTGAGCATTTCCTCCCTCACTTAATCAGAACCACCTAGTTATCCAAGCAAAAACCAGGGAATCACTACCAGCTCTCTCTTTCCACCTTTTATAACTATGCAGTCAATAAATTCTATCCAATATGAAATAGCATTGTATGACCTTTCTCTATCACTTCAGTCGTGGTTCTCTGTCATTACCTTGATTGACTTCCTTACTGTTTCGTGACTGAACTCTTGCAATAGCATCCCAACTAGTCTCCCTGCCTCTCATGTCTCCTCTAATTGCTCTAAAACACAGATCACATCATGCCTCCATCTGCATAAAAACTTATATCGTCTCTATTAAATAAAGAACAGGTTGAAAACATCCTTATTTCAGTATTGCAATACACATGAACCTTTTAAATCATGCCTCATCTCTAAATACTCCTCTCTGTACTACCCTTGCTGCAATGTCTTTCTCTTTCACAAGGAAGGGTCTTTGCACATGCTATTTTTCTCATATGCTTGATACTCTGCCTTAACTTGGGTTGCCCTAAAGCAAATACCCCCAGATATGTTGATAGACTCTTAGGTAAAGATAAATTTATTCTGGAGGTGATCTCAGTAAACAGGAATAAAGGAGATGGCAAAGTAAAACAGAAAATGGGAGGCAGAGGTGAGGGGAACAAACAAAAACACACTCAAAAACAATGGATGGTGTACTTATGAGCTGGTTAGCTCTGGTTACCTCATCAGAAGATAGACATATAGACATTTGTACCTTGACTCACATTCCCCATTTTTGGAGAGCTGTAATGGAAAGCATTCATCTTCCTTACTGTTGGCTTGCTCCTAGGCATGGCTGAACAGCCTTCTACAGCTGTAAGAAGAAAAAACAGAGAGATGAGACCCTGTGGTGAATGCATCGTATGGACAATGGGCAACAGTACATGGATTGTACACCTCGGCTGTGATGAAACCAGGTGGTCCAACACATTGCTGTGCAGGGCATCACAAAGGTATGCTGCATACTCTTAAAACACTGACAAATTCTTTTATCCTGTTCCCTCAGTATCCATGCTTAAAATTGTACTGCTATACTCATGATACTGTGGTATAATTACTGTGTTGATCTCCTTTCCCCAATGCAATGCTATAGAGATGAAAACGATACACAAAGTATCACATTATTTTGATTTTTAGTTTCTAACCAGATTGTAGCCTGGAAGAAAGACACACGCTATTTGCGTTTCACAAAAGGAAGCTGTTATGGATTAAGTTTTGTACCCCTAAAATATATGTTGAAGTCCTAACTCCAAGTGCCTCAAAATGATTTTATTTGGAAAAAGAGTCCTTGCAGAATTAATTAGTTAAGTTCAAGTGAGGTCATACTGTAGTAGGATGGACCTTTAATCCAAAACAACTGCCATCTTTAACAGATGTGGGAAAGAGAGATCCAAAAGGAAAATGGCCATGTAAAGACAGAGGCAGAGATCAGGTTTCTGCCACCAGAAGCCAAGTAATGTCTGGAGCTACCAGAAGCTGGAAAAGGCGAGAATACCTTCTCCCCAAAAAGCTCCTAAGGGAACACGGCTGTGCCAACATTTTGATCTTGGACTTTTCATCTCTAGATGTGTGAGAAAATAAACCTCTGTCATCTTAAGCTATCCAGTTTGTGGTACATTTTCATGCAGCCCTAGGAAACTAATACAAAAATTACATGTTATAAAGTGTTCTTTAAAATCAGTAATGTTTATTAAATCATAAATACGCTATGGAATAGAAAAGGGCTAGGTCGAATTTCAGAACATCTGGTCCTGTGTTCAGCCTTTTCATTTTACACATGAGGAGTTTGCAACTAAGAGAAATTAAGCAATTTATCTAAAAATGCACAACTAGTCAGTTGGAAAGCCCAAACTAAAACTGAGACTTTTGATGCTCAGTCCAAGGTAGCTTCTACTCTGCCGTAGGACTCATCTGCCTGCCATCCCTATCCAACTTCAGTCATATAGTCTCATCCTTTTCTGACAGGCTCATGGAGGTTGACCTAAACACTCACCATTTCTGATTGTCACAGAATAGAATACCCCTTTTTCCTAGCAAACTGCTAGAACACAGGATCTAAGCATATTTAATGCAGTGGTTACCATGGCACCGATGTAATTTAATTACCACTCTTTTGTGAATATTTTAAAATAAAGTTGTTAAAAGATCAAACAGCACATTCAACATTGTATGGCTATAGAAATTATAAGTAGCTTTTTAACTGAAAATGTTCTGTTCCTGTAGGGAGTTGATTATTTTTTATGAGTTAAAATTTAATTATAGTATTGGATATATGTGTGTTTCTTTAATATATTACTATGCTTCAAAAGTTAAATATGACAGAAACATTTTACCTTTTAATTTACAACTCTGACCAGTCACTTTGCAAACCTCAGCTACAATTTTATCACCGTATTTTATATCTTTCTGATTAGAGAAAGCCCCAAGTGCATACAATATTCAAGAATGTCTCAGAGAAAATAAAGAATTCCAAGGAGTTTTACCATTTGGCATTGGAGATTTATGAATGGATGACAGCATGCCCATCGAACCGTTTATTTATATATAAACACTGATGTACCTATAAAGCACCAAATTCAATGCCAGGAAGTTGAGAAACAAATAGAAATAAGTAACTTTTAAAGTCTCACTACTCAAAGTGTGGTCCAAGGACCTACAGCATCAAATATCAGCATTACCTGGGAGCTTGCTAGAAATGCAGAATCACAGACCCCATCCCAGACCTATTGAATCAGAATACATATTTTCACAAGATCTTACTGGTGATCCCCTATACACACTCAAGTTTGAGAAGTCTCGTTCTAAACAACTCATAGTTTAAGAATGAACAAAACTTGTACATAATTGCAAATGAGTGTTGCATGTGCTGTAATGAGCTATGCAACGGGTAGTGTGATTGAAATTACAGACGTGGAAAGTGCTTAGAGTGCAGAAGAAAATGGATATGACAGGGGCAATATGCAATCTAATAAGTAGTGTTTGCTTGGGATCTTGAATGATGAATGGTAGTTTGCCAAGAAGACAAAGGTAGGGGACATCACTGAAATTAAACAGGATAAATAGCAATTACAAAGGTAGAGAAGGATAAAGGAAAGACTATTCTAGGAAATGGAATTGGTTCAGATTGATCAGAGTATAGAGGTTATCAGGATCCTGGCAGAAGATTGAGTTCTTAGACAGGAGCTAAGTCATATAGTAATAAAGCATTTAGATAGTTGGTTAATATCAAACTAGTAATTATTTTAACTTAGAATATTATAAATTATGTGGACCAAATTTATCAAGAAGGTTGGCAATCATAAGACCTAGAGGAAATTTACTTTGGCTTAAATACTTGTCATTTTGTATCGTGTTTAATTTTGTCTAAATTGCCTTTAATAGTAAGTATCTGTTAATGTTTTGCACATCTGGACTGTAAGCTCCCTGAACTAAAGGAACTTCTGCCTTCATTGCTTTATCCTTCATACTTAACTCAGTAACTGACACATCATAAGTACTCAACAAATATTTGATATAAGTATCAAAAATTTCTTCACCTAAGGGTTGACTACTAATTGGTAAAATTTGAATTATATATATGCCACATAAATTTGACATAGATAAATACGTTTTAATAAATGCAGAGTATCAGAGAAATTAAAGATATATTTATTAACAATAGTTCAGTTTCACTAGAATTTGGTTCCAGGAGATGCATAAAAGGACTTTGGTAGCCAGACTATGTCCTATGTCAACACAAAAGACTGTGCAGCCTTAGTCCACAAAGTGCTTATAATAGTGGGAAGTTCACAATCCCATTGTCCTTCCTTATTTCCATTATTTATACAGAGAACTGTGAGCTGCCTTTAAGTATCTTCAGATGGATACAACCTGTCATGTCCTCCCTTGTGTGATGGAGATGAAAGTATATACTGTACTTTGCAAATCTAGAGTGAAAAACAAAAGCTTGGAGAATTTCTGAATTCTATGGCATTCACAGGTGATAGATATGCACATTCTAAAGAGAAAGCCTCTCCATGAGGTGGATTGCCTTCTCGCCACTGTCAGCCTAATTAAAAACAGCTACAATCCAAATTGGTCAAGACTGTCACATAAGAGTAATGATGTTCTGGAAGTTTGAGTCTAATTCATGGCAGTACATTGAGCCCAAGGCTCCAGTTGCTTTCCAGTATTCTGGAAAGAAAAACGTTGGCACATGTTCTTCCAAGCAATTTGATTTCCTTTTTCTAAGTTGAATCAAAAGGCCTTTACATCCAGATATGTCTGAGCTATATATATGGCCACTCTTAACTAACCCATTCCTTCTCTATCAAAATTTAAACACACAGCCATTTCCCAGGGCACGTTCTGGACCCAGGTGACCAAGGATCCCCCTTAAAAAATTCTAGAATCACAGTGTTCCCGGTTTCTCCCTGGTGAACAAGAACCCAGAATCATTTTAACCTGTTTTCATTTGGATTGCTTCAGAACAAGACTCTACAAAACCAATAACCTGATTGTAAGTAATATATTTGGATGTGATTTTATGGAATGCTGGTAAGTGCATAACAAAATAAGACAGAAAATGGGGGAGTCCGAAGACTGGTGTGTGATGAAGCAAGTTATCACTCAAGGTAACTAGAGCTGAATTCTACTGGGGAACTCTGATACAGAGTATAGATACTGGCCTCACACTTACCGCACTTGAGGGGTGAAGAAGCTGAGAAATTTACACAATTCTTGTCAGTCATTGCTTAATAGCTGCTCCTGGGTGGGGATAGTGCTACAGCACTTCCATTCTGCCATGCAGATAGGAGAGCATGCTCCCATAGCCAAAAGAAACCAGCCAGTAGGAAGTTGCAGATCTTAGTAGCTCTAAGTTGGTGGCATGAAATAAAATGAGAATGTGACAATGCTATATGGTCAGTTGCAAACTGCCTGATACAATCCCCAAATAACTCTTTCCTAAAACCTGAGCTTGTTTTCTCAATTTATTTATTTTTAAAAATTTTGTAGATGGGGTCTTGCTCTTGCTCATTATCTCCAGGCTGTAATGCAGTGGAACAATCATGACTTATTGCAGCCTCAACTTCCTGGACTCAAGCAATCCTCCTACCTCAGCCTCTTGGGTAGCTGGGACTACAGATGGACAACACAATGCCTGTCTATTGTTTTAAAAAAATTATTGGTAGAGATGGGGTTGGTCTCACTTTGTTGCCCACAATGGTCTTGAACTCCTGGGTGCAAGTTACTCTCCTGCTTCAGTCTCTCAAAGGGCTGGGATTAGGGGCATGACCCACTGAGACTGGACCTCATTTTTGACATAAAATAAGCTATTGTTCAATAATAGTATTCTTTCCAGAAAGAAAGATATTTTCTTCAATGAATATGTGTGTGTGTGTGTACATATATATATATATATATATATATATATATATATATGTAAACTTCACCTTTTGAGTGAAGTTTTAACTTTTGAGAGAGAGATATATATACACATACATACATATATATATACACATACATATATATATTTATATATATATACACATACATACATATATATATAAAAATTCAGCTTACTGACTTAATAATTACACCACTAAAATAAAAGGCCATTCACCTATTTCTACAAAGACAAGAAAAGTTATTTTTAAAAGATCACCTCTGTCTCTGCCTTTGACTTGATTCTGGCTGCAATCTCTCACTAAAAATAGTAAACAAAATGAAATTAATTCCTGGTGGAATTCTCATATGTTAGGATCTCTGCTTCAGATATTTTAGTAATTATTTGATTTTATTTGTGAAAGCATCAACAATAAGGAATGCCAATTATTTACGCTTCTTCATCTAGGTTCTAACCAATGAAGAGTGGATGGCAGATGCCATATGGAGATTTATAAGTATTTAAGATTTATAATTACCCATTTATAAGTATTAATCATTACTGGAAAATCTATAATGAAGAATATGGTTTGTGCATGATGTAAACAAGGTACACCCTACTTCCTCTTCTGTTTCTTCATCACTCAATTTCTTCTTCCCCAAGGGAAGAAAATCACATCCACTGAGAAGTTCCACATAATTTGCAGCTAACGTTAGGTAGGAAATCTAGCCAAGATAAAGAGCTGAAACCATGAGACCTAGCTTGCTTGCATATAGCACAGGAACTGGAAGCCTAAGAGAAGCCATTACATCTGTGCTCAAATAGTCTAAAAGAAGAAGCAGAGTTAGGAGTGCCTCATTTGAGTAGGAATCTGAAACCGATTTCCAAGCTGGCACAGAAAATATGATTTGCAAATGTTTGGCTGTCACCTATCTGTCCATGTATTTTGCCTTAGAGGGAAACAAGTTAGAAAAGAGAAATAGGCTAGCACTTCATGGAAGTGTGGAGAAAAAAAAAAAAATTTCTTCGTTAAGAGTGCCCCTTGGCCGGGTACGGTGGCTCACGCCTGTAATCAAGCACTTTGGGAGGCCGAGGCTGGTGAATCATGAGGTCAGGAGATTGAGACCATCCTGGCCAACATGGTGAAACCCCGTCTCTACTAAAAGTACAAAATTTTAGATGGGTGTGGTGGCACGTGCCTGTAGTCCCAGCTACTCAGGAGGCTGAGGCAGAAGAATCGCTTGAACCCGGGAGGCAGAGGTTGCAGTGAGCCGAGATGGCGCCACTGCACTCCAGCCTGGGCGATACAGCTAGACTCTGCCAAAAAAAAAAAAAAAAAGAAAAAGTGCCCCTTTATATAGAGTAGTAAACACGAAAGGAAAAGAAAAAAAGTGATTTTATAGATATACTGTACAGAGTGTTCATCTCTCTAGTGGAAAGAAGGTTAAGTGGACTGCCTTTAAAGTCTTCATATTCAATTTTCGTGAACTGACAGGTATCAGAGTTGCTGTCTGAATATGTGGACTTATCCTATCTTCACTATATATTGGCCTTGTAACTTTGAGCAAATCCTTAATCTCTCCGACCTTAGTCTGCTATTCAATCAAACAGATCCTTAAACCATTGCTATAGGGTTAATGACATTAAAACTGGGTTTCACTGAGCCCAAGGGTTTACTGAAAGCATGGCAAAATGCACTGAAGCAGTGAGTGCAAGACCAAATGATTGGGGTCGCAAGATTCCTGGTCTTTTTCCATGCAGAGTAGCTCCATTTGACATAGTTTTAGCCTTAGGATCACAGACAAGATTTAAAAGTAACAGAATTTTATTACAAAATACTTTTCTCCTGAAGAATATTTGAAAAGCAATGAATTAGTGCATAAGAAAACTGCTCTGTAAACTCTGTGTCATTATACAAGTGCTAATTTTATTTCTCAGCACTTGAAGATAGGGTGTCATGCATATAAAACAACCCATTGTTGAAAATTAATGACAATTTTTAAATGCAGTAACACTATAAAGTTATTTGAAATTTCTACCTTCTAGCATTTCCCATTCAATCATAAATACTTCCTTTAAAATGACTCTCTAATGTTCATGTACAACTTCCAGGGTTTAAAATGTTAATACAGTAAAGGTAAAATGGAAACAGAGGGCTTTCAATGTTTGTTTGTTTTTAATCAAAGCAAGTTATTTTAGTCTTTGATAGTGTATTTTCAATTTATTTAGAGAATATTGGCACACCAAATGTGAAAGTTGGTGGTATACTTAGAAATTATCTGGTCTTTTCTTTAAATTTTTTATGATAAACAAAAATGAATACTCAGTTTAGGAAGGTTAATTTACTTATTGTCTCACTTATTCAGGAAAGGTTTGTTTAGCCCTTATAATGTTTTACCCATACTATTGTGTACACAGAAACAAGATGATTACCAAAGAGTCTCATCTTGACAGTTAATAGTCTAGAGAGGAAATGCATACAGAAAATGATTGTATTACAAGACTCTGGAAGAGTTATAAAACATGTGTGGGTTTCTCAGCTGTCACAAGGAAAGAATAAAAATAAATGTGGAGAAGTCCTAGATAAAATTGTAAATTGCCTGAATAGCCAGTGATACATGAGCAAGTAATAAGACAGGATACAATGAGGCCTCCTAACACTCTCTGTGGGAAATGACAGCTGAGTAAACTTTTGAGGGTCTCATATTTAGTCTCCGGGATAACTCTTTCCTAGTCCAGATATATGAAACAGTTTTTTTTTTAAGAAAAATCCTTTTAAGATTCCAGCTCACATTTTTCTTCTGTAGAGCTACCCTCAGTACCTACTCTGCCTTCTATCGAGTGAGAAACAGTTTGCAAAGAAACCTCTTGACTTCCTTTTTCTCCAGGGGAAATCCACACACCTCTTAAATATTTATTTTGTTATTTTTATTATTTTCGTTTTTCAGAATATACAGACTCTAAAGCTTAGTCTTTATACTATGTTTCTGGATTAGCTTTCTTAGATTATTCCACAAAGCCTGGCATATTCCAAATTCTTAACCACAAACACTTCCCTCTTATCCATAGGGATATGTTCTAAGTCCCCCAGTGAATGTCTGGAACTGTGGAATGTACCAAACCCTCTATACACTACATTTTCTCCTGTACATATATGCTATGATAAAGTTTAATTTGGCACAGTAAGATATTAGCAACAATAACTAGTAACAAAATAGAATAACAATATACTATAAAAATCATATACATGTGACTCTCTCTCTCAGAATATCCTATTGTAGCATACTTATCTATTTTCAGACTGCAGTGGATCTTCAGTAACTAAAACTGCAGATGAGGGCTATTAGATCTAAGAGAAAGCCCACATCTCCTCTCGCTTTTCAAAATTCTGTAGGTCTTACCGTATTCTTTCACTTACATATTATTAGCAGACATTTTCAGGTAGAAACAGCTGAGTATTTGAAGCTCATAAATCTTCAGGTGGGATATGTAGTTGGATCCAATGGGATCTTGAGAGTGGGGCTACCAGGCTAATCCTTAATGATTTATATTTGACGGGATCTCAAATTATGTGATTTTCATCTAAGTGTCATCTTATGACTCATACAGCAAATCTGCCCCTAAAAATCATTCCAGTTCTGAGAGGTTCTGTAAGTATCTAGAGGATCATGCAATAGCAAAAACATGTTTGTAGCTTATCAAGGCTGTTTGGGGTGCAAGAAATAGAAAACCATTCAAACTCGCTTAAGCACAAACCACTTCAGATCTGTATTCTTTACTATATGTAAACAGATTATATCTCTTTTTCCAAAATCCCATCTTAAGATGTCCCTTTCACCCTCAAAAGTATCATCATTTGAATAATATATTATAGGTCACCTCATCAATCAAGGTGAGATATGAAATTGATTGTAAGAATATGGGGGAATTAAATAAGACCATAAGACATTAAGGTCTCTCTTCTCTTATTCTGTCCTTCCCTTTCATCTTCTCTACATATGGACAGAGAGCTTGTAAAAGGTAAGGTGAAGAGTCAATGAACTTGATGATTATTCATTGTGCAAAAGCTTCTGGAGCTCTTATCAAACCAAATATTTTGCAAGACACAGAGTAAACAATATAAAGTCACACATGGTATTTGTCTGGCTGATACTCAGTCCAGTGAAAGAGTCAGATAAATAGAGAATTAACTGTAACACAGAATACCAAGCCCCTCAATAGATGTAAGTACATTGTGACAAGAAACAGAGAGAAGAGGAATATCAAAATCAAACTGAAGGAGATACGAGATCTGAAATTTTATTGAGCAGCTATTAATTATAATTTTATTTTTGAGCATGCTAGGGGCATTCTAAACAGAAATATATCAGTGGTTTGGTATAAAGCACATTTGAGAGATTTTAGTACACTACAATGCAGCTTTTGGTTTTATTTTGTTTTTAACTCAAAGATATATAGTGGTAATTGGGTTTCCAGTCATTGGGATGGTAAAAAAATAGAAACTTCACTTCTTTGGAAGATATAGTTGGATGATTCATGTGTGTATGCATGCATGCAAACAAGTTTACAATGAGATACTATTCATCCTCTATATCATGACAAAAATTAAAAAGACTGTCCATACCAATTGTTAGTGAGGATATGGAAAATCACTCATGCACTAGTGAATGAGAACTGAAAGTAAAAGCGAAAGTACAATGATTTTCAGAAACTGGCTATATACATGTATGGTATATTTATATACAGATATCTATATAGTATATGTAGATATATTTATACACATAAAACCACTGAAAACATGTTTACATGCATATATACATATACGTGTAAAAAAAGTCATTTCATGCCTGAGTATATACCCAAAAGAAACTAATACTTATGAGCACATTTTGTAATTGTACAAAATTATTTTTAGCAATGTTATATATAACTGAAAATTGGAAAAAAATGAATAGATAAATCAATTGTTGTATATTTATAAAATAGAATCCACATAGTGATCTACATAGTGATGAAAGGGATGTACTACTGCTGCACGTGACATCATGGAGGACATAATCTCAGACATAATCTTGAAAGAAAGAAAAGCTAGACACACAATTTTATTTATATGAATCCAGTCTAATATATGCATAAAATTATTCCACAGTGAATGTGGTCAGAAGTGATAACATCTTGGGAGCTGATTCACTGAGTGCAGTAAAGAAACAGCTTATCAGAATGACAGAAATAGTACGTATTTTGTTCTAGGTGGTGGTCACATGAGTGTAAACACATGTAAATATTCAGTAAGCTGTACTGAAGGTTTATGCAATATTCTATATGCAATACCTCAATTTTTTAAAAAGTCCACCATGTTTTTAGGGAGATTGATTAGTTCATTCATCCAAGCATTTGAGCATTCAAAAATACCAAAAGCAATGCCAATAACTAGCCATATGTGGAGAAAAGATATAATTGAGGGCTTCATAGAAAAATTAATGGGGGTTGGAAAATATTATAATCAACAAAAATTCAATTCTCAAATACTATGTTTCAACACATGATGCTGAAATGGTTTGCTTGTGTCCCCAGCCAAGTCTCACCTTGAATTGTAGTTCCCATAATCCCTATGTGTCATGGAGGGACCTGGTGGGAGGTAATTAAATCATGGGGGCAATTACACTCGTGATGTTCTCATGATAGTGAGTTCTCATTAAATTTGATGGTTTTATAAGGGCTTCTCCCCCTTTTGCTGAGCACTTCTCCTTGCTGCCTCCATTCTCCTTGCTTCCCCTTCTGCCATGATTGTTAAGTTTTCTGAGGCCTCTCCAGCCATGCTAAACTATGAATCAATTAAATCTCTTTATAAAATATCCAGTCTCAGGTATGTCTTTATTTTCAGCATGAGAACGGACTAACACAGTAAATTGGTACCACAGAGAGAGGGGTGCTTCTGTAAAGATACCTGAAAACGTGAAAGCCACTTTGAAACTGGGTAACAGGTAGAGGTTGAAACAGTTTAGAGGGCTCATAACAAGATAGGAAAATGTGGGAAAGTTTGGAACTTTCTAGAGACTTGTTGAATGGCTTTGAACAAAATGCTGATGGTGATATGGACAATGAAGGCCAGGCTAAGGTGGTCTCAGATGAAGATGAGAAACTTCTTGGGAACAGGAGCAAAGATCATTCTTGTTATGCTTTAGCAAAGAGACTGGCAGCATTTTGCCCCTGCCCTAGAGATCTGTGGAATTTTGACCTTGAGAGAGATGGCTTGGAATTGGAACTTACGTTTATAAAGGAAGCAGAGCATAAAAGTTTGGAAAATTTGCAGCCTGACATGCGATACAAAAGAAAAACCCATATTCTGAGGAGAAGTTCAAGCACGCTGCAGAAATTTGCATGAGTAATGAGAAGCCAAATGTTAATTGCCAAGACAATGGGCAAAATGTCTCCAGGGCATGTCAGAGATTTTCACAGCAGCCTCTCCCATCACAGGACCAGAGGCATAGGAGGAAAAATGGTTTTGTGGGCTGGACCCATGGCATTGCTGTTTTGTGCAGTCTTGGGACTTGGTGCCCTGTGTCCCAGCTGTGGCTAAAAGGGGCCATTGCATCAGAAGATGCAAGCCCCAAGCCTTGGTGGCTTTCATGTCATATTGAGCTTGTTGGTGCACAGAAGTCAAGAATTGAGGTTGAAGAATCTCCAGATCCCAGAATGGTAGATTCACTGACAGCGTGTATCATGTGCCTGGAAAAGCTGCAGACACTCAATGCCAGTCATGAAGGCAGCCTGAAGGGGGGCTGTACCCTGCAAAGACACAGGGGTGGAGCTTGCATCAGCAAGACTTGGATCTGAGACATGGAGTCAAAGAACATTATTTTGGAACTTTAAGGTTTAATGACTGCCCTGTTGGATTTCAGACGTGCATGGGTCATGTAGCCCCTTTGTTTTAGCCAATTTCTTTCATTTGAAATGGGTTTATGTATCCAATGCTTGCACCTCCATTGTATCTAGGAAGTAATTAACTTGCTTTTGATTTTACAGGCTCACAGGTGGAAGGGACTTGCCTTGACTTTGGGAGACTGTTGGAAGGGCATGATTGTGTTTTGAAATTGAGGACATGAGATTTGGGAGGAGCCAGAGCTGAATTGATATGGTTTGGCTGTGTCCCCACCCAAATCTCATCTTGAATTGATAATCCCCACAAGTTTTGGGAGGGACCCAGTGGAAGGTAATTGAATCATGGGGGCAGTTACCCTCATGCTGTTCTCATGATAGTGAGTTCTCATGAGATCTGATGGATAAAACCCTTATAAAAAGGGGGCTTTTCCCCCTTTTTCTTGGCACTTCTCCTTGCTTCTGCCATGTGAAGAAGGATGTGTTTACTTCCCCTTCTGCCATGATTGTAAGTTTCCTGAGGCCTCCCCGCCTATGCTAAACTGTGAGTCAATTAAACCTCTTTCCTTTGTAAATTGGCCAGTGTTGGGTATGTCTTTATTAGCAGCATGAGAACAGACTAATACAGATGCTGAACTTAATTCCAGTTTTCATTCAAAATACAAAAATGCATTGATTGTCTCATGAGTTCTAGGCACCATATTGAGAAATGAGAATTCATAGGTGCAAAAGAATGACCTACTCTCTTACTTTAGGGAACTCCCTTTCACTTGTACCCCATGGTGCTGTCAAAATGTCCACATTTTATCCCAATTTAATTAAGCACCAATGGCTCCAGCCTTATCTGCCATGTTTAAATAGCTATAAAGGTAAAAATATATTCCAAGCTCACTATTTACTGTCAGTTATTGTATTATGTTATTAATATATCTTCTCTTTTATCTGAGCATATATGCCGGCACTACTGAATGTTTAGAGCAGAAATACATGTTTAAGGCAAAAAAATAAAAAATAAAAAAACCCAGGCACCATTGAGTATTTAGAGCAGAAATACATATTTAAGGCCAAAAAAAAATAAGTCTATAAAACTAAAACTGGCTTGATGAATAGATCCAGAAAAACTCTACTGACATTACTGACATTAATAACTATGTCTTTTTTCAGATTTGAAAAAATTATTTAAAATGTTTATGATAATATCTAAATTAATGAACCCAAATTCATAACTGAAATCTGAAAATAATTTAGCAAAAATTTGATAGCTCTATATTATTCTCTGAAGTATGCATTTCAATTGTGCATTTGGAATGATTTCTCTCTCCCTAAGGAAAAAGCTTTTTAAACAGTTATAACATGGCTCTAAAAGATCTAGGTAATAAGAAAGAAATACTTTCTATAAATTTCTTTCCATACTGTACTGCATGCCACAGACACGTAGAAGACTCCTAAGCTGTCAAGAACTGACAAATGATAAAAGGGAAAATGATGAAAAGAAATGGAACCTTGGAGCTGACCTCCTAAAAGCCAAAATTTCTCCTGGGATTTCCGAATACAAAAGAGAGGCTTTAGTACTTCTCAAAGAACACCGGATCACATTAACTTATTCAAATATGAGGTCAGATCTCAATGTTTAGGTTTAAAGCTGTCCCATTTGTGCCTTGATAAAGGAAAAAAATTGACAAATCACACCTTTGAATAAATTCATTTTAATCCCTTTCTTCCTTTTGATGTAATAAAAATAGTCTTGTCATGTATCTACGATTGCATTTAATGGTTGTCATTTACAGAAATGGAAGAATGATATCTGAGTATAATGCCTTCAAATATGGCTAATAACATTTTTACATAAGGAGAAAAATACTTTTATTTTACATGAATAAGACCATTGCTTCATGATGATGATTATTGAAGATTCAGCAGCTTCTCTTATTATAGGATAATGATAAGAACAGCTCCATCTCTTCTCTGTCAATTTATGTTAAAAAATGGTAATTCAGGCAAATCTATATTCTTAATGTTTGCTGTAACCCCATTAGTTTTCAGAAAAATTATTGTCAAAGTCTTGCCTAATTACTGCCACTTTACCTGATTTTAATCTCATATTTTAAATAATAAAGATGTCTTGATCTGTTCACATTTTAAGATGACCTAGTAAATGCTGTTTTATTTTTCTTCCATTAAGCATTTCTTAAGCACATAACTTGTCATTTCTCTACTAATTTGCTGTAACACTCGTTGATAAGTGGACATTAATTAATGTTAAATTACAATGGAATTTTTATGGAATTACAGGTGACATCCACATCAGCACTAAATGAGTTCATCATGATTAAACTTATTACCATTTCTAATTAACCTTGAGTGCCCCTGGATGTTAACTGCACAGTGTACATGCAGTCTGCAGCTTCTGTTGAAAGCAAACTCTGAACATCACACAGCCATTAAGAGTTTAAGAAAGAATGTCACAGGCCACATTTGTACTCATTGGGTGTGCAGAGGATCAGAGAATGAAAACATCAACCATAATCTAGAGACTCTGGGCAACAAAATTATTACTCTCAAAGCAAAAGTCAGAAAGAAGCCTTCCGGAAATCGAATTCACTTTGAGTGTCATGAGCATGCATAGAGAAGGTTTACTTTATTCCCTATCATCAAATAAGACCTGTTCCTTACTGTTCTCACTCCCACTCCCAATAGCAAAGTTTTCTCTGATGAATATTGCGTGACCACAGGCTTTACACCTAGAATCTGTTTATCTTCTTCATGACCTGAGAAGTGTCACGGACACTGAGAAGAACTGATCTGATGTCTACACCTGTTTCGACTGACCTACTGAAGCAGATTCTAGCGTACAGCAGGAAGTCAAAGAGGTCCATTGCAGACGACTCCTGACTCTTTAAGCACCATTTTCTCACCATGGAAAGGTGCTGCTCAGAGTATCTGCTGGAGGTTATGTAACTGAATGACCAATTCCGCTGCCATCTCTCTGGATCCACCACTACATTTGCTTCAAATCCAGTCAGTGACTGAGCATGACAATGTAACTAGAGCAGGATCATTCCAGCAATATGTGAGACACCTCTAAAGGTCAACTTCAGCATAAAGACTCTCTGTTGTTTCAGCCAAAACTTTCGTGGAATTGCGCTGCAGTCTGAGACTATCCCAACACCATCCTCCTTCCTCTCTTCTCTCTTTCATGGGGGTAAAAACTCATTCTAATCTAAGGGCTGTCTCTGCTTTCTCCAGCCTATCCATTTTCATCTTGGCAAGTGTTTCTTAGGAGACCCAAGTTAAAACACCAAATCAACCCCTTCTCTACCAAAAATAAAAATAAAAATAAATAACCAGGAGTAGTGGTGTGTACCTGCAGTCTTAGCTACTCCAGAGGCTGAAGCAGGGGGATCCCTTGAGTCCTGGAGTTTGAGGATGCAGTGAGCAAGGACTATGCTACTGCACTTTAGCCTTGGTGGCAGAGCTAGATCCCATCAGGAAGAGAGAGACAGAGACAGAGACAGAGAAAAGAGACAGAATACCAAATCATTAGAAAACATCTTAGATTCTGATGAATAAGCATTAATAATCTCTGTTTCCAGGATGAATGGCTAATAATGGCAAAATAGAAAAGGGTTTGAAAATGTGATAGAAAAGAAGGCAGAAGTCCCTCAAAATAAACTTTTTGGTTAAAAAATAAATATGACCAGGCAAGTATCAATTTGATTTTACTAGCAACTATTAAAATGTCTCTGTACGCTATATTGCTCAGCTTAACATGGGAGCTGTCAACATCAAAACCCAGTTACTTTTTTAAAAATTTAACTTTTGTTGTAAGTTTATGGGTACATATGCAAGTTTGTTATATAGGTAAACTTGTGTCATGGGGGTTTATTAAACATATTATTTCAGCACCAAGGTATTAAGCCTAGTACCCATTAGTTATTTTTCCTGACCTTCTTCCTTCTCCCACCCTCCACTTTTTGATAGGCCTAGTGTCTGTTGTTACCTTCTATGTGTCTATGTATTCTCCTCATTTAGCTCCCACTTATAAGTGAGAAAAAGCAGTATTTGGTTTTTTGTTCCTGTGTTAGTTTGCTGAGGAAAATGGTCTCCAGCTCCATCCATGTTCCTGGAAGAAATGTGATCTTGGGATTTTTTAATGGCTGCATAGTATTCTGTGATGTATGTGTACCACATTTTCTTTATCCAGTCTAACACTGATGAGCAGTTAGGTTGATTCCATGTCTTTGTAATTGTGAATAGTGCTGCAATGAACATACAAGTGCATATGTCTTTATGATAGAACTATTTATATTCCTTTGGATATATACGCAGTAATGGGATTGATGGCTTGAATGGCATTTCTGTTTTTAGGTCTTTCAGGAATTGCCACACTGTTTTCCACAGTGAAAACCCAGTTCTTGATAAGTTGTTAACTCAGTTTGAGGTCAAATCTATCATATCTGAGTTATATCCATATGTCCATCAAAAACCAGTATATTTTATACATGTCTTCTGTGTATACAATATTATTAAAATTCAGGGACTCCATAAATTGAGGAATTCCAATATTTAGAAGAACGGACATTTTAATTAAAATTTGAAGACCCTACTTTATGAGGTATTGAATGTGGAGGATTTTATTGCTATCACATACATTTTTATATTACAGTGCCCAATACCTCACAGGCAAGATAGGTGTTACCTTGAAGCCTTCATTTTCTGGGTAAAATTACCATTAGGATTATGTAAAACTCTTGAATTTAGATAATCCTATCCTATACTAACTTTACCTTGCAACTCTTTCAATATTGAACTCCAATTTTTTCAGTTTCCCAACGCAGTGGATAGAACATACCATCCCTTGTTTTGTGAAGCTGGCTTTACCACTAGGATCCAACTTTGAGATGTTTTGATCTCAAACACTCCACTTCAGAGCAATCACACACACACACCTAACACCTGGTACACAATCTTGACCCTCTCTTTCCCACTACCCTATTAAATATAGATTTTATTTCATTGCTAATGCCCTCTGCCCTGGTATCCTGAAAATATATCTATGGATAACATATCCTACCATGTTAGTTAGTAAATAAAAAATGGAATGCCCTAACTCTTCTATAAAGAAAAAATAGAAATGTATTATAAAATAATTTTAAAATTTAGAAATAATTAATCATGACTATACAAAAACAGAATGAAGTAACCCGGTGCTTATTTCTCTCTCTCTTTTTTTTTTTTTGTTGAGACAGAGTCTCACTCTGTCGCCCAGGCTGGAGTGCAGTGGCGCAGTCTCGGCTCACTGCAAGCTCCGCCTCCCGGGTTCAGGCCATTCTCCTGCCTCAGCCTCCCCAGTAGTTGGGACTACAGGCACCCGCCACCACGCCCGGGTCATTTTTTGTATTTTTAATAGAGATGGGGTTTCAACGTGTTAGCCAGGATGGTCTCGATCTCCTGACCTCGTGATCCACCCTCCTTGGCCTCCCAAAGTGCACCCGGTGCTTATTTCTAAACACGGAAATATCATGAGTGTATCAGCTATAAAGTCAGACTGATACAGTTGAGTTGGTGACTGAAATACAAAAAGCAGCACTCCTACTAAAAAAAGAAAAGAAAGACGATATTCTGAAATACTGAATAACCTCCTAGACTAAAACACAACAAAGTAAATATCTCCTCAATGAGCAGAGTAATCTTCCTCCAAAATTTAGTGCATATTAAACCCATGCAAACATACTTTCTTTACATGGAAAAGAGAGTTACACTACAGACCTAGATCATTTAAAATATTTTCTCCTCTAATGGGTGTTAGGAAAGATATTCCCTAGTTGTGATGGATATGGGAAAATTCCTTCTTTGAATAAAGCTGCCCCACAATTTATTTATTTAGAGCCAGAGTCTCACTCTGTTGCCCAGGCTGCAGTGCAGCAGCAAAATTTTGACTCACTGCAACCTCCACCTCTCAGGTTCAAGCAATTCTTCTGCCTCAGCCTCCAGAGTAGCTGGAATTACAGGCGCGTGCCACAACACCGGGCTTTTCTTTTTTTTTTTTTTTTAAGTAGAGACCATGTTGGCCAGGCTGGTCTCGAGCTCCTCACCTCAGATGATCCACCAGCCTTGGTCTCCCAAAGTGCTGGGATTACAGGCCTGACCCCTGCTCCCTGCCAGCTGCCCCACAACTTAAATGAAGGTTGAGGGCCACATCATTGTGCAATGAAAAATATCCTCATATATTTCTGAACAAACTTTCCAGAAAACAGTACCCCTTCTGTTAAAAATGGTTAACTTAACTTTCATTTAGCCCTAGTTCTTAAGCCTGGGTCAAATCCCTAGCCTTCTTTGAGAAAACATAAGGTCAACTAGGCATAATATATATTTTGGCTGGATGAATGACTTATTCTTTTTTTTTTTTTTTTTTTTTTTTGAGACGGAGTCTCGCTCTGTCACCCAGGCTGGAGTGCAGTGGCGCGATCTCGGCTCACTGCAAGCTCCGCCTCCCGGGTTCACGCCATTCTCCTGCCTCAGCCTCCCGAGTAGCTGGGACTACAGGCGCCCGCCACTACGCCCAGCTAATTTTTTGTATTTTTAGTAGAGACGGGGTTTCACCGTTTTAGCCGGGATGGTCTCGATCTCCTGACCTCGTGATCCGCCCGCCTCGGCCTCCCAAAGTGCTGGGATTACAGGCGTGAGCCACCGCGCCCGGCCGAATGACTTATTCTTAATTGATTCTTTCTCTCATTAAAAATAATACATTACAAATATTCTAAGAAAAATACAGAATTATACAGACCAGGTAGATTTCCAGCTTGCCAAATACTATTTAGACACATTTCATCAACTCAGCTTATAGTAAAGCCCCTTTCCCTCCTCTTCATCACTTACTTCTTCTTTCTTCACTTCTTTCTTTCTTTCATTACTCAGGGGTAAGGGCCTGGAAACATCCCATCTGGTTTTCTGCACTAATCTCACCCTGACAGAATTTCCTAATAGCTATTTCAGCAAACCAATGGTATGCACTGGGACACTTTTGCGATTGCAAAAAAGACAAACAAAGCCTTCCTCTGAAAGGCTTCAAGCAGACCATGAGCAATGACTCCTTTCTCTCAGCCATTGTCTTTCCACTCATAATCGTTTACGTGCAGACTTATTTTTATGTCAATCCTTGATTGGATTATCATCAATTTCATACCGCGGGGTCACAAGGGCACAAGAAACCTTTAGCCACAGTCTTCTTTTGTAATAGAGTCTGTACCTTTTCAGACTGCTGAAATAGGATAAAAGGATTTGCTTTTCATCATAGGACAAATTAAATTTTAATTGCCTGTTAAAACACAAATGTCACAAGCAAATCTTAAAGGCAGGGTTGCAGTCCTCTCATATATCATGTTTTAGTCCCATTTGCATGCAAATTAATTCTTTTCTTCACTTTAAATATGTATTTTCACAGAATATGTTAAAGTTTTATTTCAAAACATTATACAGTGATGCAACCTTAATATAAACATAAATTACACATATATATGCAGAGAAGACAAATTTCTTATTTTAAAAACAAAATCATTTTCTATATTTATATTGAGTATAATGCATCAGGTAATCATCTCAGGTAAATATGGTCCTATTAAATAGAAGAGTTTGTAAAATATTACACTGTACATTAATTAGAGTTTATATATTTTTTGGTCTTCAGGTATTACCTTATTTTATAATACATTAATATGCTTCTGATGAACCTCATCTCTCTTACAGCTTCTATTACACTGTCTTTATTCTGAAAATGACAAGGTTTTCTTGGCAACAAGTTGTGTACTGCTAGGTACACAAGACTTGAGAGTGAAAAGTAAAAGATACATTCTTAAAATCCTACCAATGCTGATGTGAACATAATTATTTAGTCTCATTCAATTATCACTCAAATATGGCATGTAATTGTGAAACTTATGGAACTATGAAAGTGGATATTTATAATGATGCAGGCTTAATTTCATTAATTTAATGCATAAAGCACATATTACACAGAGACAGACGTCAAATTAAAAACTCTCAGACTCTAATTAGCTTTAGAAATCTCTTATGTCTAATTGATATGGCTGTCATAATTAATTTAAATAGTGATTTCAAACTGACTATGATGCAGAAAAATAACTCTCATTAATAATCTTTAAAGAGAAAAACGTGATACAGAAATATCTATATATGTCTAGATACAGATACATATAGATGTGTGTATATATATTATTTTCTATATATCCTTTTATTCTACATAGCTAATGGATCACATAATACAGTTCTAAAAATTTAATCTCTATGAGTACATTATCATGTCATATTTTAAAGTCCTATGATTAACCCAAGGTTTTTAAATTCACAAAACATTCAGAGCATTTATTTTCATCACTAGTTGTGAATTTATTCTATCTAAATTATGCATGTGAATTATTTGACTGATTGATGAGTATTTCATAGAATTTTAGCTTTAACAGATATTTTAGCAAAAGGAATAGATAAATAGACAGATGATTGATTCATGCTAGGTAGACATATAGAGCTAATGTGGGCAAAAGATAAACAGGTTGGTGAAAGAAAAATATAAATCTAGGCATAGGTTTTGGTGATGTAGAATAATTAGGTATCTTAAATAATAAATTAAAGTATTGGATTTAATTCTGGAAGACAGAAACACATATTTCATTATTTGATTACCTGGATACTCAAGGATTATGAAAATGCTCACCTAGCTACACAGTGATTGCCTCTTTATTAATGTGTTTACCCATGTCTATAAAATGTCTCCAAATTAGATGGGTCCTGATTAAAAGTATATGTCTACATTATACCTACATTAGACAATAGGTAAAAGTATTCATTTAGATTAAAAATGACTGTAAGAAAAAATATAAAGCAAAACAAAATGAACAAACAGAAAACAAACAAAAACAGGCAGTAGGCCTTACTAATAAAGAAACTTAGAAAAATAAGTGTCACAATCTGACCACATGGCTTTCTTAGGACACAGCTATATTACAGTGAAGAAATGGAGACCTCTAAATGAAAGACAGATCGCTGAATTCAGAGGCTTCACCAAAACATAGATCAGATTTTTCTTTAAACAATCAAAACATGGAAGAAGTTGCCACCACTTCATTTCATCCTTTGAGATGTCAATACCTGATCTAAGTCTTCCAGAAAAGAACAGGAAGACAGAGTCACTATGCCCCCTCCTGTAAGTCTTCAGTTCATTTTTGGAGTGTGATGGTTAATATTGAGTGTCAACTTGATTGGATTGAACCATGCAAAGTATTGTTCCTGGGTTTGTCTGTGAGGGTGTTGCCAAAGGAGGTTAACTTTTGAGTCAGTGGACTGGGAGAGGCCGACTCACCCTCAATCTGGGTAAGCATTATCTAATCAGCTTCCAGTGCAGCTAGAATAAAGCAGGCAGGTGGATTTGGAAGAGCAGTCTTGCTGAATCTTCTGGCCTTCCTCTTTCTCCCATATTTGATGCTTCTTGCCGTCAAACATCAGGCTCCAAGTCCTGCAGGTTTTGGACTCTTGGGCTTACACCAGTGGTTTGCCAGGGTTGTCAGGCCTTTGGCCACAAACTGAAGGATGCACTGTTGGCTTCCCTACTTTTAAGGTTTTGGGACTTGGACTGATCCATCACTGGCTTTCTTGCTCCTCAGCTTTCAGATGTCATGTCATGGGACTTGTGATCATGTGAGTCAATTCTCCTGAATAAACTCCCTTTCATATATATATATATATCTATATACATATATAGAGAGATATATACACACACACAAACATATACACATATGATATATATATATATATATATATATGATATATATAGACACAGTGACCTCAAGAATGCCTTCCTTTTCAATTACAGACATCCACGATCTTCATAACCCTATTTTTCTCCCATCTTCCTTCAAATTGGTTCACAGGAATGAATGCTGTATCACTTAACAGCCCAAGCTTGACTCAAAGTCACATTTCGTTCATGTAAGGAATTTGGAGCAGCACATTTTCTCTGTGTTTTCTGAGAAATTAAATGACATCGTTTTCTAACAGTTTCTTGTAGTACTTTTAAAATTCTAATTATGTAAATTAGATTTCCATCATTACTTTTTCCTCTGTGAAATATATTTTCTATTTTAATGTGCATATATATATGGACCAGATTCCACAGAATGACCTTGCGCTTTCTTAGCAGTATTGGAGGATTCTTCACTGCATTTGTGTGGTAGGCTGAAAAATAGCCTCACTAAGATGAATTCACTTCTTAATCCATGGAACCTGTAAATATTACCTGATATGGTAAAACAGTAAGGATTTCCTTATATGGGAAAAACATGATTAAGAACCTCGACAGGTGAGACTTATCCTCTCAGAGGGAGTTTTCACATGCCTGCAGCCACCAGAAGCTGGAAGAAACAGGAAACAAATTTGTCTCTTGCTCTTCCAGAGTCAGTGCACCCCCATTAACACTATGGTTTCGGATTTGTGGTTTCAGAGCTATAAGGGCATAAATTTTTGTTTAACGTACTATATTTGTGGCAGTTTGCTAGAGCAGCTTCAAGAAACTAAAACAATGTGATAAAATATGGACTTTCGGGTCAGCTTTACTCCTTGACTTTTTGTGATCTTGGGGAAGTGATTTCTTATTGTCTTAATTTTCGCATCTGTAAAATTGATGGAAAATAGTTCCCATTCCATGGTGTATTAGTCCATTCTCACCGTGCTAATAAAGATATCCCAAGACTGGGTGATTTATAAAGGAAAGAGGTTTAATTGACTCACAGTTCAGAATGGCTGGGGAGGCCTCAGGAAACTTACAATGATGGCGGAAGGTGGAGCAAACACGTCCTTCTTCACGTGGTGGCAGCAAGGAGAAGTGCAGAATGAAGGCAGGGAAAAGCCCCTTATAAAACCATTGGATCTCATGAAAACTCACTATCAGGAGAGTAGCATGGAGGTAACTGCCCCCACGATTCAATTACATCTCACCAGGTCTCTCCCATAATTTTGGGGGATTATAGGAACTACAATTCAAGGTGAGATTTGGGTGGGGGCACAGCCAAACACATCACATGAAATTGTTGTGAATGTTTTTAAAGCAAAGTACTATATTAAAAGAGATAAAGTGAATGACATAAAATATGGATAATCAGTAAATATTAGCTATTGTTATTTTTATTATTAAATTTATTAAATTAAATAATTAAATTTAAAAAATACCAAAGATGCTTTTGAATTTATTCTCCACACATGCTATAGCAGAACAAACCACTGACTTAGATATAATCCTTGAAAATTCCTTTGCAGTTGCCATGTAAACTGGCAACTACATGGGAAAATTTGCTTCACTCAGTGTTTTCATGTCAGTTGACAGAAATGCCTGTTTTGATATCTTCTCAAAGAGATTCCCAAGCTGAATAAAGACAAGACCAGAAATGTTGCTATTCCAACGACATAAGAGAGAGCTTCCACCAAAACAATAGGAGAGCTGAGTTCAAGGAAAAATGTCATGTGGCATATTTTGGGCTGTATTCCACCCCAAACTATTAAAAATACTATAGTTATCAATGGACAGGACATTGTGTTAATTATATTAAATGAAAGAATCTGCCCCATTATCTATGCTACTGTGCATCTAATTCCTTCGTACACACAGACACTTTTCTCATTTCTCCTGCCATGTCTTCTTTCCACCAGGCCTTGAAGCCTGGACCAATTAACACAAATAAATGTTCACCTGGAAGGATGACAGTGGTTGTCCCTTTTATGGAATTGCTAGGTATGAAATATCTTCCTTTCTGTATATTCTAAGAAAATTAACTATTCTGAAAATTGCAAGACAGTAGACAAAATAGATCCTAATGACTGAAGTATAAATTATGGCTGTTCCATTAAGGTTTGGATCTCCAAACTTCCACTCCCAATAATTTTTTTTTTCTTGTCTATGTTCGTTATAGAAGCTAGAAATGCTAAATAGTCATTTGTCTGCATTCTTGAAAGACAGATCAGGCCCTCTGATATAATTTTGCCTGTAGAATACTGGCATAATTTTCCTAGGCTGGCACTGCTACCTAGTCCCTGCTTTCTAGTCTCTGCTCTCTGTTCCAAATGTGGATGTGATGTCGGGACTGGGCAGCTGTCTTACAACTAATAAGCTAAAAACACAAAGCAAAGGCACACACACACACACATATATTTCAGCAGAATTCCTGCCTTGACAACATGAGCTGCTAAATCATCAACATCACCCAACTAAAATATTTAGCCCCCGTTTATGTTATTACTTGCCACTGAATGCATTCTCAACTGATATATCATAGGAAAAATAGACCTGTGGAAATGTCCATCATTTATGAAGCAGTTATTCAAAATATATGCAGACACCAAAGGCTTGTTCCCACCCTCAAGGATCTTATAGAGTGGGGTTAAAAACATCCCTATGTAAAGACAGTCATGTTTAATCATTATTTTACTAATGGTATCTACAAGGCACAATGACAGCATGAGGGAACAAGAAACACGAACACTAAATAATTCAAAGAAGGCTTGACATATAAGGCAGTACTCAAATAGAGTCTTAAAGAATCACCCCAGATGCATAAGTAGAGATCAGCTGCTTCCAATATAGGAAACATAAGTACAAATGCAAGCATGACATGTTCTGGTAATTGTATGTGGTTTATTGTGCTTAAGTATGGCACTTTGGAGAGGGCAGAGGAAGTTACAATAGATAAACTGGATATACTGGCAATTGTCAAGAGAGAGTATGAACAATATACAAAATTGCTAGAATTTATACTGTGAACTGTAGGCAGACACTGAAAATTTCACACTGAAAATGTTCACGTTATATTGTTTTTAAAAAGATGTCAATGAATATCAAGAACCCATTTAAAAGAATACAGAAGGGATTAAGATAAATCTAGCAGCGACAGAGTTCCAGTGGAGTACCCCAATTTTATGAATTATACAGAACAATCAGATTTTAATTTGCCTGATTCAAATCTTACATTTATCATTTGTAGGCTGAGTGGCATCATAAACAACCTCTCTGCTTCAACTACTCATCTGTGAAATGAGAGTAGTAACAGTTACCTTTCATACAATTGTTATAAGGATTAAATGCATCAATATTTGTTAAACACATATAACAGTATTTGGCAAAATATAAGGACTACGCAAGTTTGATAAATAAATAGTAAATCATGTATGCAAATGAAGCATTATCATAAGGGATAAGAGTTAAAACTTTTTCAAGTTTTCTAATAGCTAAACTCTGGTTCTCCATTTAATCCTTCAAGAAAGTAAATCTTCCCATAAAATATAAAAAATTATTTTTCCCCAAAATTGATTATTTTTGTTTTAGAAATTACTAATTCTTCTAGTTTACAACCAGAAAGAAATTTAAAAGTATCAGCTTTTTAATATAAGAAATTATTATGGCAGTCTGTGAAACTTTAAGCAATGTTAAAGCTCCTCAGTGTAATTAATGGTGTCACAAAGCTGGGTATACGCATGCACACACATAGAGAGAAAACCAAGAGGAGAAAATTACTTTCACAATATTTCTTAATATTCAGAAGATTAAACTTTTAATTTTATTTTCTAGAAGGTATGTAGTAACCAAGGAAATATTTTAACAAAAGGAAAGAAAATCACATGTGTACTTATGTGCTTATGTGCCCTTTTGTATCTGCCATTTGACCCTACCAGCCAAAATTTTTCATGTCTTTTTTTCAAGGAATTAGCACCTGCATGCGAATTTCCATTTTGAAGTTAGCCTTCCAGTGGTGAATTTGATAATTGTATGAAAATGAAGAGCTTTAATAAGCTGTGGCAACATAATAAACTGTCATAGAGAACTAATTATCACTTAAGGAACTCACAATAGCTGTCATCTTTTCATTCTGAGACTGCAAACCCTATACAACCATAGAAAAGGGAAAAACAATCCACTTCTACAGAAGCATGCAAAAGAGCTATTTTCTGCCTTGCTAGAAGTAATAAAGGAACTAAATGTGAATAGTCATTCATCATGTAAATGAGTGAAGTCGTTTGTTAGAATTATATTTAATAGAACTGAAAAACACTCAAAAGTCACTTTATTAAAATTTATAATAAAGTTTTTTTTCTTATTTTTATTTCTATTTTCAAAATGAACTTTGCTACTTCCTAAAACATCTCCCTGGTTATTTAAGTTTCCTTGGAAACATTAAGATTCCTGTTACTTTTTAAAAATGTGTTTCTTATTACATCACTAGCTTCTGATTATTGAAAAATCTGCCATTTAGAAATGTCAGAGTATTTGTAAATGAGTAATAAAATTATATAATTATAAGACATAAAGAACTGAAACTTGATTGTATAAACCAAAAATGACAGAAGAGTATTCCTGAACATGTACACTTCACCAAAACAATTATAAATCAAAATATTTATTTACCTCCGTTATTCTCCAATTAAGCATACAAACTTTCAATTTTAAGAGATTCGTGTTTTGTCTAGCTTTGTTCCTTGGTCCCAGACTGGGTAGGATTATGGTTTGTTTGTTTTTTTCCTCAAAAAGCACAGAAGTAAAAATGCTACTTCCGGGAAGAGTATGAAAGAACCAGAAGACAAAAATAACCCAAGTAAAATCAAGAAAATATAAAAATCAAACATAGCTAATGAATAAGGAGTGCTATGGTGAGCTAATTTCCAGAGAGAAGAGATACAGGATCTAGTTGTGGACAGGCAGAGACAAAAGTTCATCAGATAAAGGGAGATTTAATAGATGGGCAGCCATTTGTGTCACACCTCCCCTCATTGTTTCAAGTCACTCCCCTTCCCGTTGAAATGACTTTTGGGGTATTTAAAGGGCTAGGATTTTTTCTCCCCTTTTTCCCTTTTTAGGAGTAAGACCTTAAAGAGTAGGACATTCAAAAGCAGCTGCATCCATGGGGAAAATTAGAAAGTGACTGTGTATACCCAGGGAAAAGTCACAGACTCAGAAAACAGCTGATAGGATCTTAAGTTTACACCTCATACTGATCCTGGCACAGGGACAACCTACAACAATCAATCAATCAATCAATCAATAATACAAAACAACAAAGAATAACAAAAAACACAAACCCTAGGGAAGGAAGAGAATCTGATTTCCAGAATTACGCTACATTATCGGATACAAACAGCTATCTTTTATTAAAAAAACTCACAAGTCTTATAAAGAAAGAGACAAGCATTGCCAATTTCAAGGAAAAATGAAATCAACAGAAACTACCCCTAATGAGAACTAATGGCAAGTCTGTTAGACAAAATTTTAAAGCAACTCTCTTAAAGATGCTCAAAGAACTAAAAAAATGATGTGGCAGAAGTTAAGAAAATGAAATAAAGAGACAGAAAACCTAAAAATAAACTTTATAAAGTTCTGAAGCTGACAAATACAATAACTGAAATAAAAAATTCACTAATGGGATTTTGTCCTAGTCCATTTGTGTTTCTATAAAGAAGTACTCGAGGCTGGGTAATTTATAAAGAAAAGTCTATTTGGCTCATTTTTTTTCATGCTATACAAGAAGCAGGGTGCCAAAATCTGCTTCTGATGGGAATCTCAGGCTGCTTCCACTCATGGCAGAAGGGGAAAGGGAATGAGTGTGGGCAGATTGCATGGTGAGAGAGAAGGCAAGAGAGGAAAGAGGAGGAATCAGCCTCTTGAAGACAGCCAGTTCTTTTGGGAACCAAGAGTGAGAACTTATGCACACGAGAATGGCACAAAGCCATTGATGAGTAATTTACACCCACAACTCAAACACCTGCAATTAGGCCCGACATCCAACATTGGGGATCAAATTTCAATGCTAGATTTGAAGAGGAAAAATAAACCATGTTCAAACCATAACAGATTCAAAGGCATAATTGAGCAGACAGAAGAAAGAATCAGAGAACTTGAAAACAGGACAATAAAAATTGAATCTAAAGAAAAGAAAGAACAAAGATTGAAAAAGGTTAACAGAAGTTAAGGATCCTATGAAACATCATCAAGTGAACTAACACACATTTTGAGAGTCCCAGAAGGAAAAGAAAATAAGAAAGGAGAAAATATAATATTCAAATAAATAACAGATGAAAACACAACAAATTTAATAAGAGACATGAATATTAAATCCAAGAAGCTCAACAAATTCCATGTAAGATGACCTCAAAGAGACCTACACCAATATACATTATAACCAAAATTTACAAAGAGAAAGACAAAGAATCTTGAAAGCAACAAGACAGACAGCGAGTAATTATATACAATGATTCTCAATAATGCTATCAGCAGTTTCTTCACAAGAAACTTAAAATCATGATGCAGCAAGCTAATATACTCAAAGTGCTAAAAGAAAAAATCTTATATTTAATAAAACTGTTATTCAAAGATGAGGAAAAAATTAAGACATTTCCAGATTTAGAAAAAGCTGAGCAAATTTGCTACCACTAGGACTTCCCTAAAAGAAATGCTGAAGGGAATCCTGCATGGTGAAATGACAGTATGCTACACAGCAACTCAAAGCCATTTAAAAAAAATAAAGATTGCAATAAAGGTAAATCCATGGGCAATTATAAAAACTACTATTATTATAACAATTTTAGCTTGTGTTACACTCAGTTTTGAGAGTTGACAGGAGTTTGCACAGCTGCATTGCCTCAGTTTGTAGCTCCACTTCTTTATAAAAATGATTTAAGAGATAATATATTTAACAAGAAACATTTTAAAAATTCTAGGTGACATCAGTAAGGTGGCCAACTGGAGTTGCCTGATGCTTATCTCCCACCACATAATAAAGGAGATCAAAGCAACAAATAAATAAATAGATCTTGACTGAAATTACTGAGGAAGTATGCTGGAGAGAACCAGGGGAGTAGCAAAATTCCTATGGAGCATGGAATTCCAGGTTAGCATCGTAGAGAAGAAAAGAAGACACCCAGACTGTGGCACATTGTCTTCGCTGCTGGAATTGGCTTAGAGTCAGGGGGTACTTGTTATTGCAATAAAAAGCTAAGATAGAGACCCCTAGAGGTCTCCACTGCCACCACAGATGTCAGCAATCCTTGCTAAAGGAGACTCTTCCAGTCCTCAGGCCCCAAATTCAGTTTGGAGAGTTGTGGGAGTTTGCATGGCAGCACTTCCTCAGAGTTAGAGCCTATATTAAGCATACTCTCACCCCTATGAACTAAGCTGCTACAGCACAGTATCATCTTGAAACCAAACCTACTGTTAAGAGTATGTCCTGTACTGGTCATCAGTAGTCACTAAATCTTCATCCCAAAGGCCCCACCATTATTCCATGACATTCACACAGTAGTGTATAGCAGCACAATCATGGCTGACTGAAGTCTAGGCTCAACAACAAAATAAAAGTGAGCCTTGTTGTCCAAACCCACTTGGCACACTACTCCACTGAGGAACAAATGAAAAAGCACAGTAGGGCAGCCACTGAAAAGCTAGCCAAGGCCTCATGCGCGTGTGCACCCAAGCCTGGCCTAACAGCTAGTCTGGTGGTGGCTTGCCTCCCTAGGGATCCTATTGCACAGCCACCTGATCTGCTGTTCCTATGCCCTTTCATATCTGGACTTACAGTCCAGGGGTGGCCTTTCCTCCTCAGAGAGCCTATTGCAGAGTCTGTCAGCCCATAAATCTTGCACAACTCTGAAACCACAATCAATCTAGTGCCCCAGCTACAAGCAAAATCACACCACCACTGTCACAAAATCCACAGCCTAGACCACTGAGAAAAATCACAGGCATTACAGATGACTATTATGGCTGAAGAAACTGCATGGAAACCAGGCTTAGTAAACCCACAAGCAAACCACTGCATCATACTCAACTGACATTTTAGGACCCTTCTACAGGAAAAAAGTCTCTCCCTACAAAAGCTACTCCATCAAATAGAAAAAATAGGCTATTTCACTAGATGTGTAGACATTAACATAAGGACACAAGAAGCATAATAAAACAAGAAAATATGATACTACTAAAACAAGATAGTAAGACTTTAGTAATACACCTAAAAGAAAAGGATATTTATAGAATATCTGAAAAGGAATTCAAAATATGAAACTCAGAAAGATACAGAAGAATACAAACAATGCAATAAAATCAGAAAAAAATAATAATCAGAATGAGAAATTCAACAGAGATAGATATCATGAAAAAGAACCAAAGATAAATCTTAGAGCTGAGGAATTTAATGAATGAAATTTTAAAAAATACAACTGATAGTTTCAAAAACAGGCTTGATCAAGCAGAAGAAATCATTTTTAAACGTGAAGAAGGATGTTCTGAAATAACCCAGTCCAGGAGGGAGGGAGGGGAATATAACTAAAAAGTAATGAAGATATCCAATGGAACTTATGGAACACCATTAAGCAAACATGTTTTCTAAGAATAACAGAGACAGAAAAAGGCATAGAAAGACTAACAACATAATAGGTAAAAATTTTCAAGTCTTGGGAGTGATATGAACATTAAGATGCAAAAAGTATAAATTTACCAATTAGATTAGACCCAAAAGGATCCTAAGGCACATTATAATCAAACTGTCAAAATCCAAAGACAAAGAGAGAATTATAAAAGCTATAATAGCAAAGTATCAAGTCATTTATAAGGAATCTTAATTACACTATCAGATATCTTAACAGAAACCTCACAGGCCAAGAGACAATGAAATGATATATTCGAAGTGCCAAAAAAAAAATTTAGTCAAGAATACTATACCCAGCAAAGCTGTCCTTCAGAAATAAAGAAGAAATGAAGACCTTCTTAGAGAAATAAAAGCTGAAGGAGTACATCATCACTAGACTGGCCTTATAAGAAATGCTTAAGTTAGTGCTACAACTGGAGATAAAAGGATGATAATTACTATCACCAGAACACATTAAACCAAAACACTCGTTAGTAGAGATAAATTCATTATCAAACTCAAAATATACCAATACCAGAATAGGGCAATCCTCTCGTATGAAAGTTTTAAGTAAAAATGATAAAAGCAATGGCTACAATTAGTGGCTAAGGAAGACATAATAGAAAAAGATGTAAATTAAGGCAACAAAAATACAACCTGTGGGGAGGTAAATAAAAAGTCTAGAATATTTTTGTGTAACTAAGTTGTTATCAGCTTAAAACAGTTTATTATAACTACAGGACTTTTTACGTTGGTTCCATAGTAACTGCAAAGAAAGAAATTGCAGCAGATGCACAAATAAGAAAAAAAAAGAAAAGAAAGCATAGCAGCATTACCACCAAACCACAGAAGTAAACAAGAGAGGAAGAAAAGACCAAGGAGTCTGTAAAATAACCAGAAAAAAATTAAAATAGCAGAAGTAATTTTTACCTATCAGTAACAACCTTGAATGTAAATGAATTAATTTCAACAATTAAAAGATAGAAGAAAAGAAAGCAGAAAAAAAAGTCTTTTCCAGACAAGCATAAACTAAGAAAACTCATTAGCACTAGACTGGCCTGAAAAGAAATGCTTGAGGGAGTCCCATATCTGAATGTGAAAATATGATAATCACCATCATAAAAGCATGCAAAATTATAAAATTCACTGTTAGAGCACATACACATAGGAGAAATAGAAAGGAATCAAAACTTATCACTACAGAAAATTACCAAAACACAAAGATAAACAATAAGGATGCACAAAGAAACAAAGGAAATAAAAAACAATGACAAAACAATTAGCACAATGACAGGAGTAAATCCTGAACTATCAGTAATAATCTTGAAAGTAAGTGAATTAAATTTCCCTTAAAGACATAGACTGGAAAATGAAATTTTAAAAAATCCAATTATATGCAGCTTAGATGAGACTCTTACCACTAAAGACAAATATAGACTGAACGTGAAGGGATGAAAGAAATTCCATGAAAATGTAAACCAAAAGCAAGCAGAAGTAGCCATGCTTATTTCAGATAAAATAGACTTTAAGTCAAAAACTGTAAAAACAAAGATTAAAAAAGGTCCTTATATAATAATACAGGAATAATTTCAATAAGAGAATGTAACAATTATAAATATATATGCACCCAACACTGGCACACCCAAATATATAAGGCAAGTATTCCTAGAACTAAAGAGAAAAGCAGACCGCAATACAATAATAGTAGGTGACTTTACCCCACTTTCAACAATGGACAGATAATTTAAACAGAAACTCAACAAAGAAATATTGGACTTCATCTGCACCATAGAACATATGGACCTAATAGGCATTTACAAAAGATGCTATCTAATAGCTGCAGAGCACATGTTCTTCTCAACTGCACACGGAATATTCTCCAAGATAAATCATATGGTAGGCCATAAAATAATTCACAACAAATTTTAAAAGATAGAGAACATATCATGTATCTTTTCCAACCACAAAGTATAAAATTAAAACAAGAAAAACTTTGGAAAGATATGGAAATTAAACATGCTTCTAAACAACCAATAAGCCAGTGATAAATTTAAAAAAACTTAAAAATTTCATGAGACAAATGAGAATGGAAACACATAACACAGAAACCTCCGAGACACAGAAAAAAATAAGTTTATAGAAATAAATGCCTATATTAATAAGAAAAAAAGGCTTCTGAAAAACAACCTAATGATGTACCTCAAGGAATTAGAAAATAAAAAAAAATAATAAAAGGAAACTAAGCCCAAAATCAATAGAGGGAAGGAAATAATAAAAAGCACAGAGCCAATATAAATGAAATAGAGACTTAAAAATATATTACCAGATCAACAAAATGGAGAGTTGTTTTTCTTTTTTTTACAAAAAAAAATGTTAAGAATCAAAACACTTTTAGGTAGACTAAGAAAAAGAAAACAATATTCAAAGAGATGAATTCAGAGAAAAAGAGATACTGCAATGGACACCACAGAAATACCAAGAGTCACAATAGTTTATTATAAACAACTATACATCTACAAATTTTATAACGTATAAGAAATGAATAGATTCCTAAACATATACAACCTACCAATTTTAAATTGTGAAGAAGTAAAAATTCTATATAGACCAATAATGAATTAGAAAATTAATTCAGTAATAAAATGTCTTCAAAAAAAAAAAAAAAAGCCTAGAACCTGATGGCTTCACTGTTGAATTCTACCAAACATTTAAAGAAGAGCTAATACCAATTTTTCTCAAACCACTCCAGAAAACTGAAGAGGAAGGAATACAACTAAGCTCACTTTATGAGGCCAGAATTACTCTGATTCCAAAATCGGATGAGGACACAGCAACCAAAACAACACTACAGGGCAGTATTCCTGATGAGCACAGATGCAAATATTCTCAACAAGATATACAGATACATAGACCAATGGAATAGAATGAAGATCTCAGAAATAAATTCATGCACCTATAGCCAAATGATTTTTAACAAAAGCCAAGAACCAACATTAGAGGGAATAGAGTCTTTTTAGTAAATGGTGCTGGAAAAATTTTATATCCACATACAGATAAATGAAACCAGATGCCTACTTCTCACCATGCACAAAAACCAACTCAAAATGAATTAAAGGCTTAAATGTAAAAGTTCACACTATAAACCAACTAGAAGAATACATTGGGGAAATGCTGATGATGTTGGGCTGGGCAAAGATTCATTTCCAAACAACTCAATAATAATAATAAAAATCTGATTTAAAATTGGGCAAAGACCTTAATAGACATTTTTCAAAAAAAAGTCATACAAATGGCCAACAGGTATATGAATAAAAGCTCGATATCACTAATTGTCAGGGAAATGAAAACCAAAACCACAATAAGACTCTACCTCATAGCAGTTAGGGTAGCTATTATCAAAAAGGCAACAGATAGCAACTGTTGGCAAAGATGTGGAGAAAAAGGAACACTTGCACACTGTTGGTAGGATTGTATATTGGTAGTCATTGTGGAAAACAGTATGGAGGTACCTCAAAAAAAACTGAAAATTGAAATACCGTATAATCCAGCAATCTCACTACTTGGCATATGTTTAAAAAATGAAATCCGTATGTTGAGGAAATATGTGCACTACCATGTTTAGTATTTATTTAAACATTTAATAAATAGTATTTAATAGTATTTATTTAATAAATTATTAATAATTATTAAATTTTAATTTAATTATTTTAAATTAAAATTTTAATTTAATTATTTTAAATTAAAATTTTAATTTAATTATTTTAAATTAAAATTTTAATTTAATTTAATTATTTTAATTTAATTTAAAAATTTAAATTTAAATTTAATTAAATTATTAAAAATTATTAATAATTAATGATTATTAATAAATTATTAAATTTAAATAAATACTATTAAATAAATACTATTTAGTATTTATTTAAACATTTAAAATTATTTACAATAGCCAAGATTTAGAATCAAGTGTCCAATGATGAATGGATAAAAATATGTTGTTTATTTTGAATAATGAATATTATTCAGTCATAAAAAAGAATGAAATACTGTCATTTGTGACAAAATAGATAAACCTGGAGGACATGATGTTAAGTGAAGTAAATCAGACAAAGACAAATACATATGATCTCGGTTGTATATGAAATGAAAAGGAAAAAGTTGCTATCATAGAAGCAGAGAGTAGAACAGTGGTTTCTAGGGACTGAGAAGGTGAGGAGGAAGGGTGAATAAAGAAAGGTGGGTCAATGAACAAAAAGTTACAATTACATGGGAGAAAGAGGTTCTCCTATTCCATTATTCTATTATAGAGTAGGGTTACTATGGTTAACAATATAACATTGCATATTACAAAATAGCTAGAAAAGAAGCCTTTGCATGTACTCACCAAAAATAATGATAAATGTATGAGGTGATTAATATGTTAACTAGCATAATTTGATTATTGTATATGTGTGTTGAAACATCAAATTGCACCCCATAAATATGTACAAATTCAATGTATCAATTAAAAAATTTAAAAGAAATGTAAAAATAATTTTAAAAAAATTCTTAGTCTAAAAGCTAATATTATTGTAACTCTGGTAACTTCATATTTTGTTTTTCTACATAATTTAAGAACCTAATGCACTTAAAAGAAATATTACTTTACATTTATGGGCAAAAATGTGTATAAACATGTAATTTTGTGACATCAACAACTAAGAGACAGGAACAGACCTGTAAGGGAGTAGAGGTTTTGTATGTTATTGAAGTTAAGCTGGTATAAATTCAAATGAGAGTGTTATAACTTTAGCATATTAAATATAATCTTCACAGTGACATCAAAGAAAACAGTTGTATAACATGCACAAAAGGAAATAAGAAATTTTTTAAGTATTCTATAAAAAATCAACTAAATTTAAAAGAATATAGTAATGCAGAAAATAAGGTACCAAAAAGCTACAAGAAATATGTGAACAAATAGCAAAATGACAGATGTAAGTTCCTCCTCATCAGTAATTGTTTTAAATATAAATGGATTAAACTCTCTAGTTGAAACACAGAGATACCAAGAATGCATTTTTTAAAAATGATCCGGCCGGGCACGCTGGCTCACACCTGTAATCCCAGCACTTAGGGAGGCCAAGGCGGGCGGATCACGAGGTCAGGAGATTGAGACCATCCTTGCTAACATGATGAAACCCCATCTCTACTGAAAATACAAAAAATTAGCCAGGCGTGGTGATGGGCACCTGTAGTTGCAGCTACTTGGGAGGCTGAGGCAGGAGAATAGCGTGAACGCGGGAGGCAGAGCTTGCAGTGAGCGGAGATCACACCATTGCACTCCAACCTGGGAAACAGAGCGAGACTCTGTCTCAAAAACAAGCAAACAGACAAAAGATCCAACTAAATGCTGTCTACAAGAGACTCACTTTAGATTCACAGACTCAAAAGACTGAAAGTAAAATGAAGAAAAACATATTCCATGGAAATAGTCACCAAAAGAGAGCAAGGGTGCAAAATAGACTTTGAATTAACAAAGGTTGTAAGAGACACATATTAATAAAAGGTTCAGTATAGCAAGATGATATAACAATTGCAAACATTTATTCACCTAATAACTGTAAAAATATATGAAGACAATCTGATAGAACTAAAAAAATACTTTGCAATAATAGTGGGAATCTTCAATGCCCCTCTATCAATAATGGACTGAAGAATCAGAAGATAAGTAAGGAAATGGAGGACTTCTGAAAGGCATATACAGAATGCTGTCATTGCCTCTAGCCAACAACAACAGCACATACATTCTTCTCTTACTCAGTCTTTTTGTTATATTTGGTCCTTCAGTGAATAGGATGAGGCCCATCCACAATGGGGATGGCGATCTGCTTTACTCAAGCTACCATTTCAAATGTGAATCCTATCTAGAAACACCTTCACAGACACACCCAGAATAATGTTTAACCGAATATCTGGGCACCCCATGGCCTAATTAAGTTGACACATAAAGTTAAAAACACACACATATATATCTTAGTGCTGTTAACTGAGATAGAGTGCTGTTAACTGAGATAGCCTAGAAGAAATGGTACTCCACTAGCAATGAGAACACCTAGCACTCAGATCTTGGTATTTTTTTTTTAGTACCATTCTCCAATAAAACAAACCATTACTTTTTGAAGAAAGAAGCGACACCAAAACAAGAGCGGGGAAAATATGCAGTACAAAATGGTGGGGGAATATTCTGAGAACACGGAAGCCAACTTGAAAGAATTTCCAAGAAATAAATTTTGGACAATTAGAATAAGAAAATACATGAAAATAATGTATTATGATCAATAAAATAAAATAAATACCAATCAATCAATACTCTTATTGTACAATACCAATTAAAATGTATAAAAATAGTGACAAAACACTATTAGCAAATACTCAAGTGATTATTGCTGCAGATAAGACATCTGAATCAGTTGGAATTGGCAAGTGAAAGTCTAATGAGAAGGTACATTCAAAGTCTCAAACAAAATACAGATTAATGACAATGAAAAGTAATAAGTTTAAACTAAAGAAATAAAAAAATCAGAGTTAGCATTATCAATAATAAAACATGTTGACATTGTGTATCTCTGACTGTGAAGTACCTAGAAGGGCAGAACACAACCTTGCTTCGGTGGTATTTTTGCCACAAATGCACAGCCTCTCTCTAATCATTAAATAACATCAGATGATCCCAAACTGAGAGACACTGTACAAAATAATAAGTTGATAATCTTCAAATCAGTTAAGGCCAGGAATGAGAAATAAATATTTAAGAAATGTCACAGATTGGAGGATAGGGTATATAACAACTACATGCAATATGAGATCCTGGATTAGATTTTGGAGCAGGCAATGGGCATTAGTAAAAATACTAGTGTATTAGTTCATTTTCACACTGCTGTAAAGAATAACTGAGAGTGGGTAATTTATTTAAAAAAAAAAAGGTTTAATTGACTCACAGTTCTGCATGGCTGGAGAGGCCTTGGGAAACTTAGAGTCATGGTGGAAGGTGAAGGGGAAGTAAGGCACATGTTACATGTTGGCAGGAGGGAAAGAGAGCAAGAGGGGAACTGCCAAACCCTTTTAAACCATCAGATCTCCTGAGAACACACTCACTATTCCAGAATAGCATGGGGGAAACCACCCCCATAATCCAATCACCTCCGACACATCAGGATTACAATTAGAGATGAGATTTGGGTGTGGACACAGAGCCAAACTGTATCAACTGGAAAAGTTCAAATAAGGTCTGTAGATATAATAGCATTATGTCAACATTGTGTTGCTTTGATAACTGTACTGTAGTTACATAATAATGTTACATAACAACTTCATAGAAAACTAGATGAAAGGTATATGAAAATTATGTAATATTTTTGCAATCTTTTAATTAGTTCAAATTATTTAAATTTTAAAATATGAGCCTGTTATTATTCAGTATGAGACATGCTGACACAAATGGTAGGGTGCATCTAAGAAAGGGATCTAATCATTTCTTTCAACAAATGTTATTTTAATCGTACTGGGACATCTACAGTGATCTTCATGTCAAAGCACTTGTAAAGTAATGAGACAAAGTCATTATAGCCTCTTAACAAGATGCATCCTGAGATAATAAAAAAAAAACCATATATGTTAAGGTCTTCATTAGTGAAATTAGGAAGATTTGGCTTAGAATTCTTGCACTGCTAGCTGTTAGTCATGTGATTTACAGCAAATACCTTAATTACACCAAGCTCCAGTCTCCATTTTTGCAATATCAGGTTATTATTGTACCTACTGCACAGAATTTTTGGTCAGCATTTATTGAGATGACTCTGAGAAGTCTATTGAAATATGGTTGGAAAAAAGTACTTAGTATTTATTAATGTATTATGATTTGTTTTTGAAAAATTAAAGGGAATTTTATTATTTGGTTACGTAAGAATTTGCATTTGCAAATAACACCAAGACTCTTTTAGGGGATATTAATAAGGCTTTGAAGAGAAACACACAAACACATTCACATCTCATATAATATGAAACAATTAATCTACAAAAAAATACATGAGTAGTGGTAATGGAGTCAGCAGAAGTGGTTGTAACAAGGGAAACCACCTCTCCACAATGATTGTATCTGACACTGAAGACGACTTTGCAACTGACACTAGCGTGAAGTCACTGTTTTTAATGATAGTGACACAGGTAGAGTTCTTTTTCCTGAAAGCACCTGCTGTTCTTTTGCAACAAATACACAATTTTCTGATTCACTTTTGGTATGAAAACACTGAGAATGGTAATAATCAAAAATTATTTTAGGTCTTAATACTTCTTGGCAAAGCATCACATTGGGCTTATTATTCAGCCCTGACTTGAGGAAGGTATAAAAGCCTATGTTTTTTTTATTTTGTTGTTTTTTCCCCAAATTGACAGATGACACGAGGCTTAAATAGAGAATACGATGGCTAACACAGCCAGACTCCAAAGAACACTGAAGTTATATGCCTTAAATAGAAGATCAAATTAAGAAAGAGAACCTGGCTTTTCATGAATTTAGAATCAGTGTTCAATGACCAAAGCACAGGGTAAGAATAGAGGAATATGCTTCTTTTTTACCTTCTCGTTATATATTAAAATTGATCATCCAAAACCCAAGGGGCATTTAGCAAATGTCACTGAACCCACAAATTCTGAGTTCTGGTATGGGGTTCTGAGACAGAATGATCTGGTTCTGGGGTTATTCTTGCATTAAATAGAAGTGCTATGTTCTAAAAATGAATGGTCTAACCCACTAAGATTTTAAACGACCTCAGTGTATTGAATGGGGAAAGTTGAATTAGTTTATTTTATGCATGAGGGACAGGAGTAAGAACAAGGTGAAGCCCCTGAGTATATCTGAATACCCTAGACACTTTCATACAATTTCTCACAGAGCATTACACATACACACACACACCCTCTACATATCTGCTTTTACCTTTCAAATTAAGTGAGAGATTACTTGAGAGAATTTCTGTTGTGTTCTTACTTGCTTCAACATTTCTGACGAGAGAGAACTGCACTCATAAAGTTGTATGCCATAGGTATGCAGTAAATATCAAAATTCCTGGGATGCTCTCTGGTGGCTTCCTGACTGGGGTGAGTTTGACAGACTGCATTGTTACAGTTGACATGACATACACAAGAAACACTCTGTGCAGGATCATTGGGGGTCATGGCATTTGTAATCTTCAGAAGAGGCAAGAAGAAAGAAATTTCACGTTTGGAAAATTGTCAAGAAAAAAGGCGGTATTGAGAATAATACCTAGGGGAATAATAGGACTTTCAGAGAATTTTGAAGACAATACGGAAAATGTAATTTAGAAGCGGAATTAACAGGCAAATACATTACGCTTTTAACTATAATTGTATTGTATAAGGCAGTGTTTACTTGTGTTAGATAGTTCTTTTATGTTGACAGAGAGACCTGAAAATTTCACATATCTACGAAGATGAAGAATTAGTGAAGCTTGCTTATAGTCTGTAAGTAACTAAATATTTGTGAACGAAGATAATGATGGTGATGATGATAATTTATAAGTGTATTTGATGCATTTATCTATAAAAACCCATCTAGCCTGAACTGATAGGAACACACCATTCATTTTCACTTGTGGTATTAATAATAAGGCAAAATAAGAAAAAGTTCCCAATTTCAAATATTTCAGAGAGTGAATATTTGAGGCAGGGAGTATTATTCCTTTAACCCAGGCTCTTCTTCACAGAATTGTCCAAGTTAGTTCTTCATGTAGCCAATCTGACTATGCCGCTTTTCTTTGGCTCTCAGTTATCTATGAGACTATGTCTAACTCGCTGTGTGTAGCTATCTGGCTTTTCTCCATGTGACCTTGTCTCTGTAGCTCTCTGCCTGGCATCCTCTTTCCCCATCTTCTTTAGAATTAATGGCCATGATGAACCTCTGTTTTTGGAACTCTGATTTTGGAAATGTTGTTTTTCTGTACAACAGCAGTTTTCAGCTGGGATCAATTGTGACCCCATACCCATGGAATATTTAGAAATGTCTGGAGACATTTTTGAACTTACGACAGCTGCAATTGGCACTTAGTGGGCAGAGGGCGGACATGTTGCTAAGTATACTACAGAGCCTAAAATAGCCTTCCTCGTCCTTCTGCTCCAGCAAAGATTTGTTGTTCCAAAATGCCAATAGTGCTAACCTTCAGAAACTCTGATGTAGAATGAATATATCCTCTTTCTGTAATGAATCAAATTCTCTTTATCCTTCCACACTCCATTCTAATGTTACCTCCTCCATGAAGCCTCCCTGAGTATAATTGATCCCATAGTTGTGCTTCAAATAATTGTTTTTGTCTCCTATACTACATATATGATGCTGTACTGAAATTATTTACACATGTGACTAATCTCCATTGCACACTCAACTTATTCCAGTGCTCAGTACCCTGTCTTGGTACACGGTAGACATTCAAATCTTATGGGTTCCTGAATCAATAAACACACTTTTATACCCTTGGGACTGGTACAGTGTTTTGTTCACAGTAGGACCTCATCTTTTTGTGCTTGTTTTTTGATAATCTGAGATATTTTCTTTTTTTTTAGGCGGAGTCTCTTGTTGGCCAGGCTGGAGTGCAATGGCATGATCTCGGCTCACAGCAACCTCTGCCTCCCGGGTTCAAGCGATTCTCCTGCCTCAGCCTGCCTAGTAGCTATGGATAACAGGCATGTGCCACCACGCCCCACTAACTTTGTATTTTTAGTAGAGACAGGGTTTCTCCATGTTGGTCAAGCTCCTGACCTCAGGTGATCCTCCCGCCTCAGCCTCCCAAAGTGCTGGGACTACAGCCGTGGGCCACCGCGCCCAGCCAATAATCTGAGATTTTATAATGACCATTCTCATCTCTAATATGAGCAGATAAAAGAACGTACATAATAGTTGAATTGGGTCATTGCAAGTAAACCATTTTAGTAAGGTCTGTCACAGAGCAAGTACTGTATAAATATTAGTTTTGTTGTTTTTAAATATTGATTATTCCTAACATTTATGGATTTTACTAAGAATTATTTTACTGTAAACCTAGCTCTAAATTGTAGAATCACAAAATCGTATCTCCATTCATGTGTAATAATGCTTCAGTTATTCCTAAAATATTTGTACCCAATATTTAGCAAACCTTCTCAGGAAAAGAGCTTTCATTTATGGATAGAAGCAATGTTCTCTTTTGTCAGCCTCAAGTATATTATTTAGATATATAACAAATTCATTTTATTTTGAAAAAAAATCCTCCAGACGTATCCTTCTGTTTAAGTCTCAAATCTTAGAATATCAATCTATGTGAATAATATGTTTTAGTCTAATTGTAAATATTTCATTTTTATAGCGTTGACCATTGGATTTGGGGCTATTCAATGGCTTGGAATTATGCGGCATAGCATAAATGTAAATAAGAACTCTCATTCATTTTTTCTCTCTGGATTTTTTGGTAAATATTGAAAGAGATATAATTTGGATCTATTCCCATGTCTACCCAGATAAAATCGTGACAATTATTGTTTCAGTAGCAAGCTGGGAGATGCTGCATGCTGAGTAGAATTAAGGTTATGCACACCATTCTGTCCATAAACATTGGAGGTCACGTGGTTAGGTTTGATTTTAATAATGGGCTCTAGATGGTCAGGTAAATATTCAAGATCTGACGTTAGTTTATTGAATTAATGACTTGTGACATGAGAATAGGGACTCCTTAAATGAGTTTGTTTCTGGCAATCATTTCAACATCTCAAAATCTCCCAACCTTATCAGAATTGTGAATTACTTGACTCTAAAAATATTAGGCAAAAACGTAATAACCACTCTCTAGAGATAACTGCTTCTTCCTGGTTCACTTATGAGAAAATAAAACAGGTGAATCAAGTGAATAAGAGAGATAATCAAATTCAATGTGTCAGTAAACTCTCAAATCCATTCTTATGTTATCATAATTGCATTATCCAGACTCCTTGTGTGAGTAACTGAGCAGAAATTCTCCTGCCTTCAATCCTATTATTGAACACAGGAAAATAAAACAATGAGAAACAAAGTGAAAAATATAAAAATAATTAGTCAGATTCTGGACTGAAGACCTGAAAAAGCGTAGTCATGAAACCCTCTCTTTCTTATCTTTTATTCCTCTTTCTCTTTATTCCTCTGTTTTTCTTTGTCTCATTTCATCCCTTCCACTCTCACAATTTTTCTGCAAATATATACTGATATCATAATAGTATTCTTTGTAAATCATGCAGTGTAGATGCAGGATTCACAGAAGAATAAGAATTTATATTTTTCAGAAATTTAGATCAATATACTTAATGAACATTTGTTGACATTCTTTCAGCACCCATTGTTCTTTGTATAGTCTTCACAGCCAGATTTTGCTTGGAGAAAAAAATCTTATTTTATATCTACAACAATCAGTGTATTCCATTCCTTCATATGAGTGGATGTTTGGACAATGGATATGTGAATCTATAAGTTCAGAGATTTATGTTAAAATGATCAAGAAAATACAGTTCACTTTTTGCAGAGTTTTAAACCAGAAGGATATAAACCTGGAAATTCTGTAAGCCATTTTTCCAGTTGCAATGGTGAAAGTCCCTGTGCAAAATAGTATGACAGAGGAAATCAGAGAAATGCATTTCTCTGTGTATGTATATATGTGTGTGTGTATATATATAATTTTTAAATATATCTAATAATTTAAACCAATTAATTATTCTTTTACTTTTTTCTTCATTTTGAGTAAGTAAATTAGTCAGGATCATATTGACTGCAAATAACAGAAAAGAGAAGATTCAGTTCATATTTTCACGAGCAACAGGAAATCTTGGGACAGATTGTTCAAGTATGGATCTATAGGAGACATTGTCATCAATACCTCACACTCCTCTCTTTTTGACCCGTTGTTCTTAGCATATTTCTCTCAACCTCATGCTTACAAGTTAACTCTTGTCCATATTCATCTTCCTCACACTTAAATACCTTGATCATATTCCATACGGAAAGAAATAGGGGAAAATGAAGGCCAAATATATGTTCATACTCATCAAACTGACACTATGAACAAAATCTGGGTCCTGTTAATAAGGAAAAAAGGCAGTGCATACATCAGTAAGCAATGGTCAACATATTTTCTACCAAAGTTGGGTCAATAGCAATAAAAATAAATTCTTATTAATTAATTCAATATATAAAAATTATTTGCAATAAAAATGATACATGATCCAAATGAGGTAAGGGCTGAAAGGTTGCACAAGTCTAAAAAAGAGAGAGACTACATTGAGAAAATATTCACAGGAAAAATAATGCATGAGCTGAATATTAAAGGTCAGGAAAAAGTTAACTAGGAGGAGTGACAAGAAATATATTACAAACAAAACAAGCATCACTTGAAAAGTTATTGAATCAAAAAATGTATTAGTCTGTTCTCAGGCTGCTAATAAAGACATACCTGAGACTGGATAATTTATAAAGAAAAGAGGTTTCATTGACTCACAGTTCCACATGGCAGGGAAGGGCTCACAATCATGGTAGAAGGTGAATGAGGTGCAAAGGTATGTCTTACATGGTGACTGGCAAGAGAGCATGTGCAGGGGAACTCCCCTTTATAAAACCATCAGATCTCATGAAACTTATTCACTATCATGAAAACAGCAAGGGAAAAACCCACCCCCATGATTGAATTACCTCCCACCAGGCCCCTCCATGACACATGGGGATTATTACAATTCAAGGTGAGATTTGAGTGGGGACACAGCCAAACCATATTATCTTACCCCGGCCACTCCCAAATCTCATATCCTCACATTTCAAAACCATTCATTCCTTCCTAACAGTCCCCCAAAGTCTTAACTCATTTGAGCCTTAACTCAAAAGTCCACAATCCAAAGTTTCAACTGAGACAATGCAATTCCCTTCCGCCTATGAGCCTGTAAAATCAAAAGCAAGTTAGTTACTTTCTAGATACAATGGAGATACAGGCATTGGGTAAATACACCCATTCTAAAAGGAAGAAATTGGCCAAAATGAAGGGGCTACTGGCCCTATGCAAGTCTGAAATTCAGTGGGGCAACCAAATCTTAAAGCTCCAAAATGATCTTGTTTGACTCCACGTCCCACATTCAGGTCACACTGATGCAAGAGGTAGGTCCCTATGGTCTTGGGCAGCTCCACCCCTGTGGCTTGCTGGGTACAGCCTCCCTCCTGGCTGCTTTCATGGGCTGGTGTTGAGTGTCTGTGGCTTTTCCAGACACACAGAGCAAGCTGTCAGTGGAGGTACAATTCAGGGGTCTGGAGGACAGTGGTCCTCTTCACACATCTCCACTAGGCAGTGCCCCAGTGGGGAATCTCTGTGAGGGCTCCAACTCCTCATTTCTCTTCTGCACTGACCTAGCAGAGGTTCTCCATATGGGACCACCTGCAGCAAACTTCTGCCTATATATCCTGGCATTTGCATACATCCTCTGAAAGCTAGGTGAGGGTTCCCAATCTTCAATTCTTGACTTCTGTACACCCACAGGCTGAACACCATGTGGAAGCTGCCAAGAACAGCATGAAGAAACCCACCCCCAGGATTCAATTACCTCCCACCATGTCCCTCCCCATGATACATGGGGATTATTACAATACAAGTTGAGATTTGGATGGGGGCACAGCCAAACCATATCAAAAAATAACATAAAATATTCAATGAAAAGCAAGATATTTGGAGAGGCTGGTGCAAATTCTACTTAAGAAGAAATTGTAATTAAGGTTGTAATAACACAACCTATCATATGTGTTATCAATAAATCAGCCATATTCAGTTTCATTTAGCAGAGTTACAAATTGCTCCATAACACAAGGCTCAATTGACTTATGTATCCTTAGTATAAAATATTTTACTATCTTTGCTATTCCTAATTAGATAACATAACTTTGGCCTACATATTTACGTACTTTGAGCTCAAAATGGGCTAGAATTAAATTTGAATACATAGTAATATTAGTATTCAATTAAACAGTCACATGTTTTGTCACAAAGTCACTCAATCGTGGCTATTCAGTATAAATATATATATATATACACACACACACACAGCTAATATATCAAAATAAATTGCTACTATAAAATATAATGTATCTCATTTTTAAAACTAAAAGCCACTTTTAATGTATAAAAATCACATGTAGAAATTATATCTACTTAGTAACAACTTTATTCAGTGGTGGAGAAAAACCATTAATAGTTTGTGATGATCAATTTTATGTGTAATGGGATTAGATCACGGTGTTCAGATATTTGATCAATCATTATTCTGGATATTTCTGTAAAGGTGTGTTTTGCATGAGATTAACATTTAAATCTGTGGACATTGAGTAAAACAGATTACCCTTTATAATGTGGATGGATGTATTAGTCCATTCTCTCATTGCTATAAAGAACTACCTGAGACTGAGTAATTTATAGAGAAAGGTTTAATTGGCTCACAGTTCCACAGGTGTACAGGAAGCATGACTAAGGAAGCCTCAGGAAACTTACAGTCATGGCAGAAGACAAAGGGGGAGCAGACATGTGTTACATGGCTGGAGCAGGAGAAAGAGAGAGAATGGGGAGGTGCCATGTACTTTTAAACAAACAGATTGTGTGATAACTCACTATCAGCAGAACAGCACCAAAGGAGAAATCCATCCCTGTGATCAAATCACCTCCCACCAGGCCCCAGACCTCCAATAATGATTATTGCAATTTGACATAGGATTTGGGCAGAGACATAGACCCAAACGCTATCAGTGGGCCTCATCCAATCAGTAAAAGGCTTTAAAAGACCAGATTGACCACCCCTTAAGAGAAAAAATTCTGCCGGCCGACTGTCTCTGGACTTCAGCTGCAACTCTTCCCTGGATATCCAGCCTTCTCACCAAAGCTGCAAAATCACCTGAGCCAGTTCCTTCATATGCATATGTTAATACTCTTGGTTCTGTTTATCTAGAGGACCCTATCTAATACAGATTTTAGTACTATCGCATTGCTGTAACAAATACCTAAAAATGTGGAAGTGGCTTTGGAACTGGGTAATAAACAGAGGCCGAAGGAGTTTTAAGGTATATGTTAGAAAAAGCCCAGCTTCCCTTGAAGAGCCTGATGTTGGAAATATCATCTGGTGAGGTATTAGATAGAAATAAGGACTGTGTTATTGGAAACTAGAGGAAAGGTAGTCCTTGCTATCAAGGGGCAAAGAATCGGGACAAACTGTGTTCTAGTGTTTTGTGGAAAGTTGAAATTAAGAAGTGAAAAACGTGGATGTTTAGATGAGGGGATTTCTAAGCAAAATTTTGAAGACACAGCCTGGCTTCTCCTTGGTACTTACGGAAAAAAAAAATGTGAGAGAAGACAGATAAATTGAAAAAGAACATTGTTATGCAGAAAGAAACCAGGGAATGAAGATCTGGAAATTGTCAGCCTATCCATGTTGCAAACACTGAGGAAGTATTTTGTGGAAAGAATACAAAGTGTTTGGCTGAACAATCACTCCATAAACAGTTTATGGGTGTAACTCATGGATATAATCAGCAGAAGCCTAAAATAGAGATGGTTTTGTGCTAGCAGAAACATTGCCAGCTTCTACTAAGGAAGATACAGAACAAAATGAAGGAAGGGTGTTGGACTCTTGTATTCTGGAGGATTGTACAATAAAGCTATGGAGCTTTAAACCTGAATTATCCTTCAGGAAAAGGGAAGATCAATCTCCAAAGGCAATTCAGAGATAAACAGGACTGATACTCTTACCAAAGACTGAGTACAGTGAGGTAGGTGAGGGCTGGCAAGGTTGCCTTTTCCTTGGTTTCAGGGTCTGGGGTCCTCTCCTCAGTTTTAATGGGTCAGGCTTCCATCATTCAGGGTCTTATGCCAGGATAGCCACTGAAAGTTGAAAGTTGCAGGGATGGGGCTGCTGTCCAGGTCTGAAGAGAGTGATAATGGTACCCAGAAGGCCTAGAATGCAGACCTGCCACCCCACTGCACTTGAGGACAGAGCATGGAGCCAAAGGGGATTATTCTTAATTCTTAAAATCAAATGTACTTGGCCCTGCCAGCTTTTGGACTTGCTTGGGACCCAAGACCTTTTCCATCTTTCTGCTTTCTTTCTTTTAAAATGAGAATGTGTGTCCCATGCCTGTCCCACCACTGTATTTTGGAAGCAGATACTTTTTTTGGTTTCACAGGTTCATAGCTGGAGAGGAACTTTGCCTCAAGATAAATCATACCTGAAGTGTCATCCAAGCTTGATTTAGCTGATGTTGAGATGAGATTTCGGGACTCAGGGTTGATGCTGGAATGAGTTAAGATTTTGGGGCTGCTGGGATGGGACTGAATGTATTTTGTGTGAGAAGAACATGAATTTTAGGAGTTGAGGGTGGAATGTTATGGCCTGAATTGTGTCTGAAAAATTCATGTTTTGACATCTTAAACCCCAGTACATGAGAATATGGCTGTATTTGCAGATGGGGCTTTAGAAAAAGTGATTAAGTTACAATGAGGCAGGTAAGGTGAGCCCTAATCCAATCTGACTAGCTTCCTTTTCAGAAGATGATCTTAGAACAACACATAGATACACCAGGAAGGCACAGGCACAGAAAAAAGACCATGAGAACAGGCAGCCAAAAAGCAGCCATCTGCAAGCTAAGGAAAGAGTTCTCCGTGGAAACCAACTCTGCTGGCACCCAGATTTTAGATTTCCAGGCACCAGAGCTGTGATAATACAGATATCTACTGTTTAAGCCACTCAGTCACATGATGGTCATAGTGACAATCATGAAGCAGGTCCTTTTAAGTCAAAACCCTCCCACAGACAAATGCTACAATGTTTTTAATCTCTAAGTCTCTTCCCATTTCACGGGCATAACTTGCAGGAGACAAGCATGGCTTGACTACTTACAGAGTTATTTTCATGACCAACATCTTCAGCATCCATCACACTGCTGTTAAATAAATAAAATAAACTGTAGTTTAGATACAGTCACTTAGAGTTGGAGCTGAAAATATAGAGTCTATTACTGGAATTTGTTGAAATGGTAAAAATTTTAAAAGTTATGGAATATACATGAGGCTTACTGAGGAAATAATTTCTCTTGCTCTGTCTCCATATATACATGTCTGTGTGTGTATTACACATGTATACCTATTTCTCTCTCCGTGTGTATTATACATATATACTACAAACACACACACACACACACACACACACACAAATATATATATAGGGGTGACTTTGGGGAGCACTTGGCCTCAGGCTATTTCTTGCGAGTATTCTAAATGTGCAACAATCTCAAAAGCAGTAAGGCATCCTCTTTAATTTCTGCCGCAGTAGAATTGTCCCAAATCGTCTTTTCAGGCAAGCATCCCGCCTGAAAAGGGTCCTTTTCCCTTCTTCTCCTGGCTCTGAAAAACTTGCAGCCAGTCTATAGTGTGAATCTGGTCCATTGTCCTGTGAGTTCTTCCGGTAAGGAACAAGGCAGCAGGCACTTGCAGAAATATTCCCTAATTGTGGAAGAAGGAGCTTACCCCCTTTACTGACATATTTTTTCCTGTTGATCTCCTCACTCTGCTCTTGTTTGCTTTGTTTTGTTTTGTGTTGGTTGTTTCCTGTTGAGGCAGAAATATGGCTCCCCGTTAGCATAATGCTCTTTACTGCTAGCTTACAAAACCCACGGTTTTTTAAAGGTCCTCTTCATAATATCCATGGGCCTCAGTGATATTCTTAAAGTAGGCATTGTTTCCATTATTTATCCTAGAAAATAACAACAATGATAATGACAACAAAACGGAAAGGCGGCCAGCTTCAGTTGTTCTTTAGGCCAAGTTATGAGATCAGCCAATTCAGGCTGTGTTATGCAATCTCACCAAATAGTTTATTATATTTTGCTAGAACCTCCATGCAGACATTTTGCTTTTTATTTCAAATGCTCATTTAATATTAGTTATTTGGCACAATTATTGTAGTGCAATGGAAAGGGACCAATAATGGGAGCCTATAAAGCGGGTTCCCACACTGGTTAAATTTTATTGTTCAATTACTAGATTTTAGTGTCTGTGCCAAGATCTTTTCCTGTAGTATCTCATTTAATCAGCACAATTTTCTCAGCTACTGGTATTATTAAATTTATTTCAATAAATAAAGAAACTGAGGTTCATAGGGATGAAATGTGCTTTCAAAGTTTTCAGAACTAAAGTCTATGAAGCCTGGGATTCAAATCCAGATTGTCTTTAGATATCTGATTTGTTTATTCAACTGCTATGCTATGGTGTCTTCTTAGTTTTCTGGTACCAGTTTTATTATAGTTGTGTGCTTTGAGACAACCATGCCTTTTCCTTTTGTCTCAGTGTTCTCACTTGTCACAGTGAAAGCAGTGAGCTTCATAAAGTTTAAAATACCAGGTGTGCCTTTGCATTCTGTTTCTGTGGAACACTCCTTGGCACCTACTCATTTCTGATACTTTCAATGAGAGATTTATTTTCCCCAATGCTGGCCATGATTTTGTATTCAAATTATTCCCTTATGCTTCAAATGTCCTTTCTATGATCACCATGACATCTACTCAGAACATCAAAAATTTGTCATCAAATTCACAGCATCAGCCATTTTCAGGGGCAATGGTGTTTCCCTCTTGTGCTCATAAAACCTTTACTGAATCTTAGGGAGTTTAATTTCTGTTGTTAAGAAAGCAGCATAGCTACCCTGAAAGTTTCTAAAGTGAAAACACTTTGAATAAATGCATCCAACAACCAAAACCCAACAATTACATATTTGAAGATCAGAATGAAATTAGAAGGTACTCAGTGCGCTGAAGAAATATCAAAACTTCTAGACAGATGGGAACCCAAAATGATTACGCATTACCCACTACTATAACACTGATTCTGAAAGGACTCGAATGGAGCCATACTGGAAATGGTATCGTCTTCTATAATTTTTAAAATATTGGACTAATATATTACTGTTCATCTTAAATAGGGTTTGAAGCAGTTCTCTCTTCAGCACCAATATCTTTGTGATTATAGAAGGGAATCTCACCTTCAGTGACACGCAGATGCAAAGAGTCAAGTCACAAAGACATTCCCAGAATTAACTTATAAACTCAGCAACCAGGGATTTGAAGAGAATATAGACATTTGTGAGGTCTTCCATGGACATCAATTGATAGGATTAGTTACTTAAAGATTATACTTGAGTAAGTACATTCTGCGGTTCAGAATAAAGATCATGAAGCAGGCCCAGTGCAGATGGTGAGTGGCATGGTCTGCACTGACAAGAAGATAAATTAATTCTCTTATCTCACAGAACCACTCCCTTTTCCACACTGGTGAAGGGTACTGCCAGTTCCATAGAAAAAGAGACTGGAGATAAGTATCAGAAACCACTAATGAGCATTTATACTTATTTATATTAATGAATACAACAGAAAAACATACAGGATTTTTTTTACAAAGTCTAGAATCAATCATTCCTAACTTTTTAAAAACTATTTTTATAAACTTATGGATTTAAAAAAAATCCTACAATTTTATTTTTATTTTGGAGTTTTATTTTAAATAGATTAATTGTTCCTGATAGACACTGCTTCACTGTTATAATCAAATTCTGATGTCAAAGTTGGGAAAAGTATAAAATTCAGTATCCTCAGTGAGAATTTCTTCTTAGATGTCTTTCATGTTACAGAAGCAACCCTACATATTTGGTTTATTCATAGCAGAATCTACTTAGACTCTTTCATAGTCTAAAGGCTCTAGTTTTAAGCATGATTTTAGCAAGTTCCATTTTGTAAATTCTACTTCCCGCTGCAAACAGAAAGCACTACATTTCAAAGAGGAAGGTAAGTTGATACACTGATAACTCAAATTTTTACACACACACACACACACACACACACACACACACAAATGCAATACATTCCTATTTAAGATTCAATCTTAGAATTATAATGAATTGATAAGTCATGAGACATCTATGAATTCTAAAAATAAGTCATAACTTAATTTGCATATTATAATGTTAAACAATACGTACCTATCATATTAGGGTTCTCTAGAGGGACAGAAGTAATAGGAGATATTATATATATATATATATATATACGTATACATATATATACGTGTGTATATATATATATATATAAAGAGGAGTTTATTAAGTATTAACTTATACGTTCACAAGGTCCCATAATAGACTGTCTGCAAGCTGAGGAGCAAGGAGAGCCAGTCCCAGTCCCAAACCTGAAGAACTTGGCATCCGATGTTGGAGGGCAGGAAGCATCCAGCACAGGAGAAAGACGCAGCCTGGAAGGCTAGGCCAGTCTCTCTTTTTCACGTTTTTCTGCCTGCTTTATATTCGTTAGGAGTTGATTAGATTGTGTCCACCAGATTAAGGGTGGGTCTGACTTGCCCAGCCCACTGACTCAAATGTTAATCTCTTTTGGCAACACCCTCACAGACACACCCAGGATCAGTACTTCATATCCTTTAATCCAATCAAGTTGACAGTATTAACTATCACAGCTATTGACAATGAGAATGCATAGCTATGTAATAAATTAATATTTATATCTGGTAGTATAAGAGGTATTTATTTTCTTTTACCAAAATTTTCAGGTTTTGTGATGCTGTCACGTAAGTTATCATGATTACTTGTATGAGAAAATCAGCTTTTTCAATGTTGTTATACACAGAAAAAGTTCATTTGTTTATGAAAACATGTTCTAGAAATAGATTTGTCTTACTCAGTTCAAAATATGAGTGTATAGTAATTTCATTACCTGTTTCATCACCTACAATAATTTCACTTTTATCTAGCAGAACTAGGTTAGGTCCAAAATCATCAACCTGCTTATAAAACACTTTCTACTGTACAAGGTAGGAAATTATTTTTGAAATTTTATTTCATTGAGATCAATTTGATTCATCCATGGGTAATAGTATAAAGAAATTATTTCTAGCTGCCCATTTGCTACATATACACCTAGCTTTACATAATCAATAGAAATATGTGCTTTTGAGCTGAATATCAAAAAAGAAAAAGAAAAAGAAAAATAGGTCACTAGATGGTGCCATAATGTTATTTTTTACTTTATTGTCAGGGATTCTGGAAAGGTGTTGTAATCATTTTTAAGAGGCATGTTGTCAGATGCCATGAAGAATAAAAAGTAAACTTAAAGTTAACAATTTGGGGAGGAAATATTATTAATCTTAAAAATGAGTTATATTAGATGTATTGTGTTAAATTGAATTAAAATACATCAATGAGACTGGGAACAAGTTTTGACAATATCAAGGTAGAAAAATGTTCCTTTTTAGGTTGAGGTGATTTTGTTCCTAAAACCATATGTAATTACTCATTTACATATGTAAGGCCATACATAGGAAATAGTACTGTTTTCTAGCTACTCAAAGAGGTGACGATACCTTTCATTCCTTAAATAACCAAGTGTATTTTTAGGTGACTTCTGTTCAATCAATAGTTTTCTCTAATAATTGAAGCTGGCTCCTGTGCTTTCTGTTGTGATTTTCATTGTTGTTAAACATAGACAGCAATGTATATTATTTGTTGACAGAACGTTTCTCCATATCACTGATACTAGAAAGAAACTGCAGCCCAAGTGACAGTTTTTTCAAACAACCGAAAATATTATACCACGTCTGAAACAAATTGAGAGTAATATTCTTGTTTTGGGAAATGCTAGACCTTGTTGCAAGGGTTATAGGTAAAAATACTGTGCACACAGAAACAGACACATATAAGCAGGAGAGAGGTTTATTTGCATTTCTGAACTTCCCCACTGACATAATTACTCAGCAGAGAAAAAAAAAAAGTTTCTACCTCTCCAATCTTCAACGACCATTTACATTCACAATGTTCAAGAGATCTAACACTTTTAGGCACTTTGGAGATTTAACGGTGGAGGAGAGGAGAAAGACTTAAAAGTCTCAAAGTGCTTCTGTATTTCTCTCATTATTGGAAGCAGTTTAACAGTGTACTTCCAGGTCTCTCTTTTACCAGAGTTTGCTCTTTTCAACATTATTATTCAACATGAAAACTGATTTTTCAACCCAAATAGAACAAGAAACCTTTCCAAAAAGGTGCAAATTTCAGTGTCAGATTTAGATACATCTTGATAACAAAATTTCATTTTTCCCAAACACTGATCTGGGATGTTTCTGAGGATAGGCCCATTCCTTTCAGAAAGAATTTGTATAATGTTACTGAGATCACCAGAGATCACCATTTCTAACTGACACAATGCAGGATCTTGGATTTTGGAGGGATTTTAGAATGAAAACAGTGAACAAAGAAAGAGGGTCAGACTGTTTTCAGGGAATATTTATTATCCATTTTAATTAAGCAAGGTAACTGTTTTTCTCACCCATTTAAATTATTACTCCACCCTAAACTTGACAAATTAATATCTAATAATATATTAGCACATGAGAAGCAATTATAGCCTTTCTGTTTTGGGATGGGGTTTTTTGACGTAATTTACAATAAGGTTGGGCTTCTCTCTGACTTAGGTGAAGATGTAGTTAATATAGATTATTTATACAGCTGCTTGACACTCTATTTTACAGCATGTTTCCCTGGGGATGTTAGTTTGTAACAACCTTTTCCTTCCTTGATGGCTATTAATGATACCTGGCACTGCTTTCTTTACTTAACAGGCTATATATACAATTAAACAGAGGCTTTGACATTTTGACTATGCCTTGGCTGAAATGATATGAATGCTGATAGTCTTATACTAATTCACAAGACTTTTATGCAATAGACACAGGAGTAAAAAGAAATAAAGTACTCTGAGTTTTTGTTTAAAATATTGATCTTCAGCCCAAATCATTGCTTAATTTGGATCAATGTATTGAGCTGAGGTTTCCCCAAGATTGAGTGCCTTGCTTTCTTTCGTGCCGTCCAAATAGTTTTATAGATACCAGTGGGACGTTATGTATTAGGCAAAGTGCTAATTGCTTCACATGCATTGGCTCCTCTGCCGGTACTGAGTAAAGGGCTATTATAACTTTCATTTTATGGGTGAGGAAATAGAGGTTTGAAGGTGACTAAGTGACCTCCTTAAAGGCACCAATTTAATCTGCAATATAGCAAAAAGCAGTTGCTGTAATCCAGAGCCCCAGTGGACCTGGGTTCTGTGCTTTTTGTTGTCATTGTAATTGTTAAACATAGACAGCAACGCATATTATTCGTTGAAAGGACAGTTTTCCCATATCTCTGTATACGATATTGGTCTTAGGATGACAGAGTGAAAGAAACATTAAAATTTATCTGTGGCTGGAGAAAAGAGAAGTCGTTTTGATAACATATAATAAAACAGACAATCACCTGAGAGTTTTTCTACTTCATCCAAAAATTATAATGGGTACCATCTTATATAAATTATTAGTAGCTGTTCAGAGGTCTCATTTAGAATATGATTTTTATTCTTTTGCTCTTTTGTGTTTTTCCCTTCCCTCATTTGTTACCGTCTTCGGGGCTGTCAATTAAGGTAATCCAACCCAACCTGACCAATGTTGGCAGGTGGCTTCAGTTAGTCCAATCAAATATTCTTCTCAAATAATTATATTTTCACAAGTAGGACTTACAGACTCAAATTAAGTGGGGAGGGGCTAATCATTCTGAATATCGTGCCCCAAGGAAATTTCCATCAGTTCCTGGTAAAAGATCCTTGTTTCTCAGCCTTCAGCAGCCCACTTCTTTTCCTTTCTTACCACAGGTACTTCGTACTATTTACAAACCTAAGTTTCCTTGTCAATAGGAAGTAATAATAATTTAATAAACCTTTTTTTTTTTTCAGACAGGTTCTTGTCTCCCTCTCTTGGCCATGCTAGAATGTAATGGCGCTGTCTCGGCTCACTGAAACCGCCGCATCCCAAGCTCAAATGATCCTCCTGCCTCAGCCTCCCAAGTAGCTGAGACTAAAGGCACGTGCCACCATGCTCAGCTAATTTTTGTATTTTTTGTAGAGATGAGGTTTGGCTATGTTGCTCAGGCTGGTTCCAAACTCCTGGACTCAAGGGATCCACCTGCCTTGGCCTCCCAAAGTGCTGGGATTATAGGCATGCGCCATTGCACCAGGCCCTAATAAAACTTCTGATAACTTTTTTGAGGATTAATTAATTTGAATAATATAAATAAAATGTGGGCACAATATCTGACATATAATAATAGTTCATACATTAGTTGCTCTTCACCCCCTAAAATCTAAAAAACATCCTCCCATCACCACCAAGAGAAAACATTTATACCCTTCCAATCATAGTCCTATCAAAATACCTATGATCTAAGCACCTTTTGGTCCTACTGCATTGTAAAGACCGAGGACTGGTTCCATTGTTTCTAGATTGCGTTGTCTCCAATGACCTCCTCATTTTGTAATGAGGAATTGTTTCAACTACATAGAATTTTCTATGGTTTTCTAATTTAATTTTGAATAAAAAGGTTATCAATTTCTTGAGATTGAGAGTGTCATCATGTGTCCAACAATAATAAAGATTGGATGGTGTGAGGGAGAGTGAAGGTCTGGAGAAGTGGCAGGGTGGTGGAGGATAACATATTTAAATTATATTAGAATTTAAATTAAAGCATGTTCTGAAAAGGCAACCATTACTGTTTATACAAGGCTCTTTAGAAAAGAATTTAAAGTTACAACATACAAATTAGCTCCAGACATTCTCTCGGCCCAGCTCTGCACATACTAATCAATGAGGCATAAAGATATAATTAGTTCACAGACGCATTTGTTGGACTGTGTTTACTAGGCTCTTAAATACCACATTTAAGTTTTGAGCTTAAATCATCAGCAAATGAATTTCAGCATAAAAAGGGGAGTTTCTCTGATATTTTTTAAATGTATTTGAAGATTGATATGAAAAGTTCCCACCACTCCATTCTAAAGAATTTATTTCAAAGCATGTCATAAAGGAATTAAGTAAAATGCAATTTGGCAGTAAAATATATTTATGGAAAAGCCCACAGGCCTCTACAGAAATCATCAGTGAGGTAGATTTTTTTTCAAGTATTATCTGTTTGCGCTTCTGGGTTTAGTAAACATCGTAACTGTCCATAGCAAGAGGAGCAGAAATTGAAATTTGGCAATGGGTTTAGGCATTGTTTCCTGGATGCCTCAGTCTTATTCTAAATTAGCCACCCTACAAATCCTCTGGAGAGGTTTTCAAAGGAGAAAATGCTTTGAACTTAAGTTCTTCTTCTAGCTGTAATTCTTTGGACCCAAATCCCTTCCAGAAGGTCCTTCTTTCTTCCCTATTAACAGCTAAATCATACTTTTTAATCTAAGCACAACAAACACAGGCTCCCCCCAGAGCCATAGCAGGTGTAGTGACTCACAACAGTCTCTTCAAGTAGGACCTCAGAATCCTCAACTCACTGCATTCCCAAGCAGACACTAGCAGTAGATTGATGTTGGCACAGAGTTAATTTTATTTGCTATCTTGCTGTAGAATATTAGGCTAGGAAAATAACTCCAGAGATTAGATCATTAAATTCAAAGTATTTAAACATTTTATGAACACTAACTAAAAATGATACACTTCTATGTGAAATAACAGTGTATCAGGAATATAAACTTCAAAAATTAAAAAAAGAATACATCTTCATTGATCATAACAATTATAAGTACAACTTTTGCAACAGAAGTTTGTCAAGAATTTTCACTGTTTTGATGTCATTTTATTTAAACTCATAACCACTCTTTTATAGAGTTATTACTATATCTTTTCTGGAGATCATAAAAATGAACCACAGAGAGTGTATATTTCTCAAGGGCACATAACTAATACTGTAAAGTCAATATTAGAGCCCAAAACTTATGATTCTGTATCACACTCTTTACTTATATAACTTGTTCTAAGAATAAAAAGCAATCATACATGCACTATCAAATGGACAACAAGAAATTCTCTATCGTAAGAAATATGTATATACAGGGGAGTGCTCTCAGTCCATTTGGCTCATATTGTGAATGAATAAAATGAATTCCAGAGGATTTTGATATATTAATAAAAATAACTATATATTAAATTGTACTTGCTATGAGTCAAGTGCTATGCCAAACCACTTCAATTATTTCCATGAATTTAACCATTTAAAATTTATAACAACCCTAACAGTAAATGCTATCGTCATCTCCGTTTTACAGATGAGGAAACTGAAACATGGACAGAAGTCATGACTTGTTAAGCTCTCACAGATGGAGGTGGAGTAAGCACTCTGTCTTTAAGTTCTGCAACCATAAATAGTATACTAATACCGCTTCTCAAATATTTATAATCTATATATTAAAGTACATATGTTTTCAAAAGAATCTGGTACCATGTCATCCGCATCTAATGGTGTTACATAATTAATGGTTGTGTTAATATGCTAATAAGTCTGCTCATTTACTGTTCAAATACAAGTAGTATGTTCAAATAGTGAAAATGTTGCTCATGCTCTAGAGCATTATATTGTATAAAATTTTAAAAAATAAAACTTTTCAAAATTATATTATGAAGAGTGATAAGAAATGTATACCAATCTTTAGAACTAGCAAAGCAAAAACATTTTTAAGTAATCACAGTGCTTCATTTCTCAAATTACAAATAAAATCATCTTAAATGTAATAAACCATCAAGGGAACTCTAAGTGCCTGACAAAAATGAGAAGACAACAATGCATCACTCTGTTCCCCAACTCATTTGAGACCTCAGAGTTATTTCCATGAATTCTGAACAAGCTTCTCCCAAGAGGTTGATGAGCTACATAAAAACTTTTTAGATTTTGTGTCTTGAGAATGTGAGTGAGTGTGAGAGTGTGTGTTTTTGAATGATAAATTTACTCTAATACTTATTGAGAAAACTGATTTTATAAATACAATTTCTAGTAAGATGACTTAAAATAACAGACTAGAATCAAACTATCTTGAATCTTTTTGGAAATTGTTGGAAAATAAATTATAATAATCCACAATGACACAGAGTCAATGTAGAAAATCAGTATTTTATGAGCGATTGGGAGTAGATAATCTTTAAGTGTTCTCCATGTACTAAGCACTACCTAACTGCTTCGGAATATATTAATTTATTTAACCCTCATTATAACCTCATGAGATGGGCTCTACACCCCTCATTTTATGGTTGAGTAACATTTGCCCAAAGTCATACACATAGCAAGTGGCAGATATAACTTCCAAAATTATGCATTCTAGAATGCTCCAGAGTTTATTATCTTAGGACTAAACTCTACTGTCTGAGAATATTTTTAAAGGAAAAGAAATAGGGACAAATAGAAAGGGAGGTTTAAAGAATGGCTGGGCAGGAACTGTATTTTTTTCAATAAGACCGTAGAAAATAAAAAGAAAATGAAAAATAAACAGGTATATTAGAATTGAGATAAAGCAGCTGAGTCACAGGCTATGCTGTTACTCATTTCTGCTGAAATATTATAGTTTACCAAATGAACTTACTGTTTTTTCCTGTATTTATTGAGCAGCTGTCACATATTGGATAGTGAACAGGACAAATAGGGTTACTGTCCTCTTCTAGCTAAATGTTAGCAGGAGTAATTAAAATATTCCCACATATATACAGAAATGAGTATGGACAGATTTGAACATGAATGTGGATATGGATACAGATATAGATCTATATATCTATACCCACATGTGATAATGTCAAATATTGATATGTGTCTTGAAGATAGTAAAGCAATGAATATAGCAGGGCTGAAGAGGAAAAGGTGTTTCCAATGGGAAAAGATTGCTTTTGTGTTCTCCTCCCCAGCTTCAGTGTGCCTTTACTTCTAATGACCCACACCTGTAATTTTCTTTGGCCACCTGCCTTTGGACTAATGGAATGCTTGCCTACATTCTGCCCCCCACAAAAAAAAGACCTCCCTGAAAATCTACTTCCCCTATGGCCACCGCAAGGCAACCTGCTAACCGCTGATGAGCACTATCCGTGGGGTTATGGAAGCTTAAATCTCTTGACTCCATTGGGGGAAAACTCTGAGCTTACTTTACACCCTAGATTTCCCTTATGTAATCGAGTTCAAGTACCTCCATTGAACTTCGGTATTTTCTTTCCTTTCTTGCTCCCCCATGCTTTTGGCAAAAACCCCTTGGGAGCACTTCCCTAACAGATCTATGGTGACTCACTGTCTCAGTTTGCCCCACTGTGCACACTGGGACAATCCCAGGCAAACTGAGATGGTTGGATACTCTATAAGTCATCATCTGCGAAATCTGACCTAAGACATCAGGGAAAGCCTCTCTGAAAATACAGTGTTTATGCTGAAAAAGAGCCAACCATTTGAAGAGCTAGGAGAAGTGTTTTCTAGGCAAAGAAAAAAATGGCAGAAAAAAAATGGCACTATATTCAAGAAGACCATGTGGCTGGAGCAATCTGCATAAGAGGAAGTGTGTGGGTAAAGGAAGATAAATAGGCAGGAATGTAAATAGCCTGCAGGAACTTGGCAGAAAGGGCAAGAGAAGTTCATTATTATATCAAATTATTACATAAGCTGTGGACACCTTTATTGTGTAGAATTTGTATGTACGTATCTGCATGTGTGCATTTTTCTCAATGAAAGTATGGTCTTGAAAATTTAATTTTTGAAAGGGTAGTCTGTCAAACAAAATGCAAGTTTAGATATTACGACACTTGTATCTGGAGATTATTTGTAGTTTTGATTGCAGAGTTGAACGTAAACCCAGCCAGGAACTACAAACCCAGAGATATACCAGGGAACCATGCTTGAATTATAGATGAAAACAGAATGCAGGTTAAGTTATTGTTTATAACTTCTACAACAAAAGAATGACTCCAAGTGTTTAGGGATTTGTTCCTATATTTGAATACCTCTGCATAACAACCTCACTTGTAGCCTCCTGGAGATGCAACATGGTGGAATTCTGAAAGACTCTGAAGTTGAATAATTGCACCATTTCTTTGATCATTGTTCTTATTTTTGCTTTTGCTGTTGGTGATCTATTTTCGGTTTCTGAATCCCCAGTTTCTTCATCTGCACACAAACAGATGTGAGTGTTGATCTGAGGGATCAGAGCATTTTATACAAATCACGGAGCATAATTCCTGGTAAACCCTCTCTAATTAATAGTTACAATGTTGAAAGTGACTGAACCTCTCTAAACCACTGGCCCTTTTTACACATAAAATAGTGTAAAATACATGGCAGAAGACAAAGCATAGGAATAGTGTGGAGGATGAAAATCTTCAACTTAGACTGGGCTTCAAGAAAGAAAGCAGGCCGGGCACGGTGGCTCAGGCCTGTAATCCCAACACTTTGGGAGGCTGAGGCGGGCAGATTACCTGAGGTCAGGAGTTCAAGACCAGCCTGGCCAACATGGTGAAACCCCATCTCTACTAAAAATACAAAAATTAGCCGGGCGTGGTGGCACACTCCTGTAATCCCAGCTACTTGGGAGGCTGAGGCAGGAGAATTGCTTGAGCCCAGGAGACGGAGGTTGCAGTGAGCTGAGATTGTGCCACTGCACTCCAGCCCGACAGAGTGAGAGTCTGTCTCAAAAAAAAAAAAAAAAAAAAAGAGAGAGCAAAAATGCCTGAAGGATCCTCTGGGCTTCAGAATATTTTTTCCAAGAACATTTTTCCTTGTATTTGTAACTTTTGAATAAAAGAGTTTACTTGAGAAAGCCCCTGAGGGGGAAAACAAAACATAAATAATTTTACATTGTTCCAAGAACAAGTTAGAGTATCTAATAGGTCTTACCTGTTGGAAATGTTAATGCTTTTATTAGAATTGTACTGCACAAAATGCAGTCTTTCACTTGAGGAAAGATTAAGAATCATATTATATTATTGATGCACCCACGTAGCCTCTATTAACTTGAATAAAGTACATTCACGGAAAATTAACCCTCTGTATGTTTATAAAAAATAATCTTTCGACAATTTTCTGAAACCTTTGGCAATTAATTCTCTTCCCAGGAGTTAATAAGCTTACTTTAAATGCTTTGATGCTTAAAAAGAAAAAAATTTACCAAAAAACTTTTTGTTAAATTATCCAAACCCACACACAGATACACACATATATAATACATGTACATTATATAAAACATTAAATACATATTATTGAAGTATGTTAACAAGGTTTGCCTTGCAGATGGTTTAATTTAGCTGACATAAACTCCATGCATACAATAGGAGATTATACTATGTAGGCAGATAAATCCATTTTATATAAAAAAATTTGCTGGAATACTGAATTTTTTATAACAGTCAATTGGAAAGGTCAAAAACTGCTCTGATTATATATAGAAAACACCAACAGTGTTATTTTCTAACCTCTATTTTGCTGGTGAATTTATTTGGGCATTGATGGCTAGCATAATTAGATAATTTTACTTTCAAAGTAGAGGTTAGTAAGCTAATTAACTGACTTACTTCCTAAAGAAGGATTTTGTTTGGGACAACAAAAAAATCATGTGAAAATGGTGGAAAGGATTTAAAATTGGATCAACTTCTAGTTTAGTTCTTCTGTTTTCTCTATAGTTAACTAAATACATAAATTAATGAGCAATTGCCTGATAGGCAGTGCCTGGCTACATTTCTAAGGTTAGAGATATAAGTTCAGGAGGGCATATACTTTATTTCTGAGAGTCCAAGATGGGGAACCATTCACTAACAAAAAGAAAGCTAGATTTTCTCCAGAAAATAATGAACTTGGGATGCCCCAGAATTTTATTTCTTATGGTTTCAAAGTGATGTTGTATTCTTTTCTCCTCAAAGATTAGAAAATGTTCAAGATTGAGTTAAATAAAGACAATTGTAGAAAAATTTTACCCACCTAAAATTGATAGAACTGAGGATATGACTATGTAGATACTGTCTTCCGTTAATGTTTATGTGAAAATTATGTGAGACCTTCAAATATAATCTTTAGAGATATTTGGTGGAACACAAATATATAACTTAGTGATTTGTTTATTCAATTTCTCCGCAAATACAACTTCAAGGCGATAGCCTCCATTACTCTCTAGACTCCCCCTGTAACAGAATGCTTTTCTGATGCTTCCTCCCACATGGACATTTTCCATATTATCCTGGAAGTGAGGAGTGTTCTCCTCCTGGGGCTAGGGATGGAGCTCTCACCTCTCTATGCTCAACCCACATCATTCACTGGCTTTTTGTAACATGCCATGTCAGATGTATGGTGTGTACCCCAGCTAGGCCTTCAAGTTAATTTGTTAGCAGGAGTGATACGAAGGCAGAAAGGCCAGTCTTCACATGCATTCCTCAGTCAATGGTGCACCCATGGCCTCATCTGTTACAGGGGGAAGCCTCTTAGGGGTTGTCAGCCTGTCTCTGCTTAGATGACTTTAGGGGCTTTCTCTTACCCACAAGGTTCGACATCTCTCAGACTATCTGCAGGCAGTCCCAGGGCTAGTCCCTGCACCTGGATGAGCCATGAGCACCACCATCTCTCTGCTGGCATTGCTCATGTCCTAGCAAAAAGACTGGTTATTTCATTCCCAAAATACAATGGTGAGACAACTAAGTATAAAGGGGTCCCTGGAGAACCTTCCACTGGCCTGTCCACTGGGAGGAGTGCTCCCTGGCGTGGAGCCACGGAAGTTCATGCCATTTTGCAAGGGGGAAGCCATTTTGCATGGGGGAGGAATCTGGCTTCTCCTGTTCTGGGGTGGTAATCTGAAATTCAATCTGTGAGATGGGGGCCTGTTAACAGGAGTCTCTCTTGCTTTGCTGAGTTCTTTTCATTTTCACACAATAATTTCCATTTTTCTCACACTTCTATGTTTCCACAAGCCCAATCTTTTCTGGTCATGTGACGAGGACCCCGTTTTTGGCTGAACTAAGGTGAAAGTCCTGCAATAATGGGAAGCTTTTTGCCTCTCAGGACAGCATCAAATCTTATGGGTGAACTAGTGTGGATCCCACTTGCTTTTTACACACTCTTTTTTCTTCTACTCTCTCACTTTGCTGCCTTTATCCTGCCCAAAGCTAGCCAACTTTTTTAAAAAAAATTTACTATTTTAAACAATACCCCTCAAACAAATGTTCATCTTCAGACCTTGCCAAAAATCTAAGTAAGAGAAAGTCTGACCCACTCTTGCATTTAGTGCTTTGGAAGTTAGCACTCTGGTTCTTAGTTACCTCCACATAAAAGTCTAATGTGCTCCACATATTCTACGCATTCAACCCTTAAAAATTCTACGTCTGACCATTTTGCATTTGTATAATGGGAAACTCACATATGAGGTCAAGTATTTTGATCATATTGAACTGATACTAAATCAGCATTTTATTTAAAGCTTTATGATTTTATTTGTTTCTTCGTATGTTTCTCTTTTTACTCTCTGCTATGCTGAATCTATGATAAGCCTAACGTTTCTTAGCCATGAATGCTTCCAAAATGATAAAGAAGGCAGTGTGTCAGTCTGTTCTCACGTGCTAGTAAAGACATGCCCAAGACTGGGTAATGTATAAAGAAAAAAGGTTTAATGGATGCCCAGTTCCATGTGGCTGGGGAGGCCTCACAATCATGGTGGAAGGTACAGGAGGAGCAAAGTCATGTCTTCCATGGTGAACAGAACACGAAAGACCTGCCACCGTGATTCAATTACCTTCCACCAGGTCCCTCCCATGACATGCGGGAATTATGAGAGCTATAATTTAAGATGAGATTTGGGTGGGGACACAGCCAAACCATACCAGGCAGTATCTAAATTCTCAGAATTCTCAGAAACAATACCAGAAGTACTGAATGCTAATCTCTTGTCATCTATGAGGACAGCCAGACTTCCTAGTAAAGAGGGAGCACAATTCAACAAATTTATTGGGGCAAATGGGACTTGAACATAGAAAAAGCTTGAGATGTCAACAAAATCTTCCATGTCTCAGATGTGAGTTTGTATCCTACCACCATCACAAACACTTTGACCATGATGAAATTATTTAATTCTGACTAACTCATTCTCTTACCTGTATTCTCTCCTTTGGTTTTTGCCAGACATGCCTAGCACAATGCCTAGAACATTGTAGGTTTTCAATAAATATTTGCTGAATAAATGTAAGCTGCTGTAAATTTACAGTGGAGTTGTATTGTATTAAGACTCTTCTTACACATGACTTTCTACTTGCCACCATGTTGCATAAAACTATAGCCCAGAATACCAGAGCTGGAAGAAATGTTCAAAGTCACCTATGTTCTTTTTAGTTAAACGAGTGAAAACTTAGAGCCACACTGAGGGTATCAATTACTTAAAAGGGTCTGTATTGTTGCTAAAAAGAAATCTGTAAGGAAACAAGGTCAGAAGGTGAGCAAGACCTCAGTTTCCAGAGGTTATTACCTCTCAAATCAGAGGATTCCTCTTGAAGGACGATTGGAAAATACCAAAAAAAAAAAAAAAAAAAAAAAAAAAGGGGGGGGCAGAGAGAGGATGGACTTAGGAGAAAGAATAAAGAAGAAACTCAACAATCAAATAAGCCTATAAACACAGAGTTACTCTCATACTAATCAAACAGTGATTTTCCCCATTTTTATTCCTCAGATCCTGCCCTTTAAATAAGCTTTCCATGTAAGAGCTGCTTATAAGCCACAGTTGCATGCATTCTGATTAGATTAACAGTCTGTTACCATTCAAAATGGCTAAAGGGTGTTTGTGGGGTTTTTTTTTTGTAAACAAAAAGATTGTTCTCTTAAAGAGTGACAGTCATCTATATGGTTCTTATTAAACAAATATTAAAACAGAACTTAAACAGAAACCAACTTGTGCCAATTTAAGGATCACCAAGAAGACAAATTATCGTCTGTTGAAAATCATATGCTTCCTTTATTTGTCCATCTATTTAAACCTGTCAGTCAAATCTCACTACTTGCCTGGTCCTTTTCTTGGCTCTGGAAATACAATGGGGACAAAAACAAAGATACAGTTTCTGTCCACATGCAACACCCTAATGAAGGTGAGGGACATTAATGAAATATAGGCACATGAATAAATGTATAAAGACAAACTGAGATTATGTTCGAAATCACAAGACAGCAACTCTATGAGTGCACATGGCAAAAAAACAAACAAACAGATCTTAACATACACTTGTATTTTGGTGGTAGCAGCTGGGAAGTTTTCTCGAAAAGTCACACTTGGAGCTGAAACCTAAATAATGAATAGCAATTAAGCTGGTAAAAAATTATACATTATTGGTGTGTGTGTGTGTGTGTGTGTGTGTGTGTGTATGTGCGTGTGTGTATACTTATTCAGAATAATATAACATGTGAAATGTAGGATTTTGGGCTCTATTTTGCATTCAAAGCAAGTTTGGTTATTTTTAAAATAAGAAAAAATAGTATCTGTTTACTAGGAGACATCCAAGTTCATGATTAACTTGCATACTTATTTAATGGAATTGCTTTAAAGTCAATACCCTTTCAACTCTGAGTATATGTGTTTAGCAAGAGGCACTCAAGGTTGCTATCTTCTCCAACAATATACAGTAGTAGCAAAATCTGATGAAGCAGAGGAAAAGCATTTTAAAAAATGCAAGATGGAAACAGAATGAGAAGTGCATTACCTCCCAAGATACCATTCTGGCTTCTGCAATAATATGCAGAGTCAAAAGGCAATAGACTACTTAATAAAAAAAGAACTTCTAAAAAATGTAAGCATCCCAAATGTCTGTATTTACATATATGGTTCACTTTCCATTTCAAAATCATTTGGAAATTCCCTAATCCTGAATAAAAAGATCAAAATTACTAGTTGCAGAGTTAAGAGAAGAATGTACTTTCAAGTACTCTCGTTATAAGTCCTGGTGAAAATTTTAGTTGAAATCAATACCTAAATTACTTATTGGACTGAAAACAGAGGGCATCGTAGAAAAGAGAGCATTGGTGACCTTAGCTCGTTAGGCTGGATGGTTAGGTGAAGGGCATGTCTTCCGCGTGCAGAGGGATGGGTAGAAAGGATCTTAGGAAGCCCTGTGAGACCAGTGGGGTTAACCAAAGGTATGTTCATTCATACATATTTAAAACAAACATCCTGATGAAGACAGTTAGCATATTTCTTAAAAAGACTTGAATACTAAACCCTAAGAAATTCCTGGCCTAGTTAAAAATAAAAGAATTGATTCTAAGTGGAAGCTATGGCTGTATATTTGTGTTTGAAGGGAAAATTCGTATCTTGAAAGGCTTGTACCCAAAATAGAGCCAATCATATAAATGCCATCTGAATAAGACACTTATATTTGGTAAGCATAAATTCACTCTGAAATACCATTTCCCTAATAACCACTTTAGTTGTTATTCTTGTTTCTCCTAGAAATACTAATGCAATGATAATAAGAAGGCATACTTACATTTTCCACTAAATTTAGAATTTTAGTAATTGAAACACAGATGCAGTGACTTCAATGGGAAATTAATTTGGTATTGTCTTGCTAGTGTTAGATACACTCGGCATGAACATATTGCTTATACTGGTGGTGATATACACACAACATAACATACACATACACACAAATAAAACTGAAAACTCAAAAGAAATATGCATTGATAAAAGTGGAAGAATTTTTAATGATATATTAACTGAATTATACTTTATTATCTGAGTATATAATGCAAAATTATATATAAAAATTTATAAACAATTCTGTAACATTTACCTTGATAGCCAACATTAACTAAACATACCATATTTTGTAATGAGTAATCCTTTACTGATTAAAATTTTACTTTTTTCTGTAGGTGAAAGAGGAAAACATGGATTGAAATCTGTTTTTTATTACCTTACAGAACTTCAAATATTGATTGTCCTTTTAAGTCACTTCCTTTCTTTCTCTCTCCCTCCCTTCTTCTCTCCTTCCCTCCCTTCCTTTCTCCCTCCCTTCCTCCCTTCCTTTCTGCCTTCCTCCCTCCATCCCTCCCTTCCTCGTTTCCTTCCTTCCTTCCTTCCATCCTTCCAAAAATATTATAGTCTGTTGTAATCTAGGTGCTATACCATGTGTTGGGAAATTAAATAAATGTCTAATGAAATGGGTTCCCCTCTTCATAGAATTTACGGTCTAGTGATAAAACAGGTGTTAATAAATAATCATACTGGAATCGTTACTTTGAAGGAACGAAGTCATTGCATAGTCTGATGACTTGAGAATTTCAGAGAAGACACCCCTGAAGAGGTGAAAGTGGAGCTGAGATCTGATAAATGTATAGGGGTTGGTGAGGCAATGTGTGCTGGGGTAAGGGTATTCCTAACAAAGAAAATAGCCTGCACAAGGACCTAAAGTGACAAAATTCATGGCAACTTTTGGTATATAAAATAAATCCTGAAGGTAAATGTTAGGGACCTGTATGAACACAGGTGAGAAATGAAACTAGAGTATAACACTGTCCAGATAACAGTTCACGTTAAGGATTTTGGTCTTTAGTCTAAGACCAATTAAAAAAATAAATATTTAGAGAGTTATATTCACAGAAATGGTACGGACAGACTTTCATTTTTAAAGGATTGTTTTATCTGCTCTATGGAAAATAGATTACATGATACGGAAATTAATTCTAGGAGTTAGGATGCTATTGAAGAGATTCAGACCAGATGTAATAATAGCTTGTGTTAGAGTGGTAGTAGAAGGTATAGAAAAAGAAGATGAGAGTTTCAGATACTTATGAGGTAAACTCCAGCTGCCAGATGAGGCAAAGAGAGGGGATGAGGATGACTCCTAGTTTTCCAAATTTGCTTGTATCAGAAAAGAAGGATTAGATGGAAAAAAGTATACACATTCATAGTACCTTTATTATCACTACTAGTTGATGTCAGGGTGGCAGATGGATAACGTTTAAGAATGTTAGAAAAGAAATCGGGCATAAAATTTAAAAATAAATCAATCATCAGAGGATAATTGAAACAACACACATTGATAAATTTGTCTGGAAAAAGTGCATATAGAGTGTTTATTAATCAGGATAGGCTTTATGGCAGTAACAACTCCTAAATCTCATTGGCTTAATATAAAAAATTTTATCGTTTTTGTTTTTGCCTTTTTTGTATTTATTTGTGTGTATGTTTGTTGGGAGGGTGTGTTCTAACATCACTTATGTTACACAGTATGGATGACAGATATATTCAGCTCCATTTATCATGTCAGAGAACCACGCTGATGGAGGCTTCACTATCTTGTAGCTCGATGGATCTCTGGACTGCAAATTGGGGCAATTTCCTCCCCCAGATAATATTTGGCAATGCCAAAATATATTTTTTGTTGTCACAACTGGAGAGGATAACCCTGACTTCTAGTTGGTGTAGGCTAGAGATACTGCTAAGCCTCCTAAATTGAACAGGACACCCGCATGCCTAACCTCAACTCAGAATTACCTGCTTTAGATGTCAGTAGTATCAAAGTTGAGAAGCCCTATTGTAGCTGTGCCATCAGCATATTCTGTGATCACACAGCAGGGAAAACGACGAGTGACTCTTCAGTACTTCTTTTTGAAAATAATGTTTTTGTCCACAGTCCAGTCGCCATAAGTAGTCACATGCCCCTGCTTAGGTGCAAGGAGGATGGGGAATGGAGTGAAGTAGATGATATATTTTATAAGTACCATTGATACTAACAAGCTCTAAAGCAGCAGTTACTGCCAAGGTCTAAAGCAGTAACTATATTGTGCCATTGGCATCATGCGTTTAGGTTACGGTATGAAAGTGGCAGGGCCAAGGGCATGTCCAGGCATGAGTGTGGTCGGCACCTGATGCAGGTGGCTAGAAGAATGAATATGAGTCTGCCAAGGATTTCAGGCTGACTTCTGCCTTCAGTGAGGTATTCACTGAAACCCAGCAAAAGGCAATATATTAACCTTCCAATGTAATTTTCTCAGATATGTGTGAAGATGGAATTCATTATACTGGAAAATTGAATATTAAAGGTAATTAATGAATTTGGCAGCTCTTTTATTCTTAGCATAAGCTGGGAAAATTCTAGGGTTCACAAAATAAAGCAGGTTTGCTAGTTTCTAAGACATTACTTCAAGTGGAACTTGTGACAAGAAACTAAGAAAGCAGCTGTATTTTTTTTAGTTCCAGAAGTTTCTCAACTTCTAAAGTAAAAAAAAAAATAGAATAAATCATAATGGAATTAAAGTTATTATTCACTTTTCTGTTTTTTCTAGCAGATATTTCCTCAGAGTTAAGATCTTAATAATTGTGGTGAAAAGCATTTGCTAAAGCAGCAGAGTGTAACTGTAAAGAGAGGAAACTCTAGAGCCACTGGCTCTGCTGTCTTTTAACTGCATGTCTTTTGGCCTTAATTTCTTTATCTTTATATCTTTAAAATGTCTACACACTTCAAAGGAGGACTTTTAGAATCATTTATTTCACAGCAAAGATCCTGGCACATTCTTCATATGTAATAAACACTGCATGCTATTAGCATTATTAGTATTATTCTGATTGCTATTTTATTATTAATCCCAGATCTAACTACTCGTGTTGTTTGGAGAATGATGCAGAGCACAAAGGAAGGCTTCACTTAGACCTCAGAGGTGACACAGGAATATTTTTAGTCAAAGGTGAAAGATTTGCATCCTGCTTTTCATTTGCTTGTTTGGTTATTTTAAGTTCATGTATCAATCAGTGTCCAGAAAAAGAGAAAGAAATCACAGCAATAATTTAAACTGTGGGATGGTGTGATGAATTCAGTAGAGGGTTAAGTACTAAAAGACTCTAAGAGGTCCAGAAATTGCAAATGCAGAAAGCGGCAAATACATGTGGGCTGAGGAAAAGTGAACAAGAGCTAAGAATTTTGAAGATATTGCCCTCACTGCCATCCAAGGCTGACATTCTTCTTGAGGAGGATAAGGGTGCCACAGGAATATATGAGCTGCTGGGGTGACAAAGAAATGCCCCAAAGGGAAAGGGTCAGTGCTGGTTTATAGAAACCACTCACCAAGTGGTAAAGAAACTTCCTGTCATAGCTGCTACCTTTTGCTTATCAATCTGCTGGCTCCTGTGTTAGGAAAGCATATTGGAACCAGAGAGAGTGTCCCCATCCTCCTGCTCTTTAGTTCAGTACTGTGCCCATCAGATACCTTCTATGCACAAACCCTAACTTAGAGCTAGATGGTAAAGGAGAAATGTTTAGATTCCAATTCCAGTATTATTAGGAAGGAGCTGTAATATAATACCTGATTACTAGCACAGACAATGGTATGCTAGAGTTAGTTATACCAGCTTGGAAGAGATCATTATGTGCATTTCTTATCAGCTCCACATTCGGTGGCATCTTGTAGATAGCTTGAGATTGGCTAATAAGGAAGTGTCTAAACAACAGAAATCAACAAATATTATAATTTGGTGCTTCTTGTTGTTGTTGTTGGAGAGCCAGTTTATTAGCACACCACTGGATACAGCCCACTTCACAGAGAACAAACATACTATAAAAGAAAGAATTCAATTAAAAAACTCATTGAAATGCATAAATAAATGGAATAGTTCTTTTTTCAAAATTATCAGCTGTAGAATCTGGCAGTATACATTCCATTCTCTACCATTTCCTAGCTTTGTGACATACAATATAATCTTCTAAACTAATATTTCCTCATCTGAAAAATAGAGAAAAAATTATGACCTCTGGTAGTATTGCTCTGAAGACTGAGCAAGGTAAACCAGATAAAGAGACAGGCACAGAATAAGTCTTTTCTGAGTGTGAGTGATGATGAGGATTAATGCCACATAACATTTCAAAGAAATTTGCTAAAAGTTTTAATATTAAAACTCAGCTAAATGTATCATGCATAAACTGACAGAGATGTTGGTCTTCAAAAAGTTTGCATTACAATTCATTAAAAAAGTCTTTAAAATAGTCTAAAGGAATAGACCATGTCTTTAGAATAGAATATTATGTTTTATATTATTATGTCTTATAATTTTCTGATATTTACGTTACTTAATAGTTTATTTTCTGGAAAAATTATCCTTTATCCTAAGTGTTCATCTAAAACATGAAAGAAAAAATATTTATTTTCTTTCCTTGTTGCATTGATAGTGCCTGGAACACAGTAGGTGCTGTGTAAATGTTGAATGAATAGATTAACAAACGAATGAGCAAAGTAGGTAGATATTAGCATCAACACTTCTGAATTACAGAACTGAGGCTTAGAGAGGTTAGATGTTCCCTCAGTAGAGCTAGAAAGTGAGAAATCTAAATTATCTGGACTATTAGATTCTCGAGATAAACCATTGTGACCTATACTTGGTGCCCATTAGAACAGTGCCTTTTTAGAGAAAAATTACAAGGTAGTTCAAATTAGGAGAACGTTTGAAAAACTCCAGTGTGAAAACTAGAATCCTAAGGTCCTAAATCCTCCCCACATTTGGAAATTGGAAAATTTGAAAATTTTTCTGTGTTTTCTAAATTATATCAAACTCAATTCAGGTAGATGATTGTATTAGTCCATTTTCACATTGCTATAAAGAATGGCCTGATAATGGAGTAATTTATAAGGAAAAGAGGTTTAATTGACTCACAGTTCTGCAAGGCTGAGGAGGCCTCAGGAAACTTACAATCATAACAGAAGGGGAAGCAGGCACATCTTACATGAGGCAGGAGACAGAGAGAGAGCAATGAGGACAGAGCCACACTTTTAAACCATCAGATCTTGTGAGAACTCACTCACTATCATGAGAACAGCAAGGGGGAAATTCACCCCCGTGATCCAGTCACCTCCCACCAGGTCCCTCCTCCGACATGTGGGTATTACAACTTGAGATAAGATTTGGGTTAGGACACAGAGTCAAACCATACCAGTGATGGTAAACTATGACACTGTCCTAGCAAACCTAAAATTGGGTGACCTCCTTAGATGGAATGAGTTTAAGTATTGTATGGTTTTCTCTTCTTCTGTTTCTTCTCTTTTACTGATTCTTTTATCTAATTTCCAATTAAATCTCATGTGAGTTGTATCAAGACTGGTCACTTTTATTTCAGGATTTTTTTTTTTTTTTTTGAGTTGGAATCTCACTCACGCTATTGCCCAGGCTGGAGTGCAGTGGCATAATCTCAGCTCACTGCAACCTCTGCCTCCCAGGTTCAAGTGATTCTCCTGCCTCAGCCTCTCAAGTAGCTGGGATTACAGGTGTGTGCCACCACATTCAGCTAATTTTCATATTTTTTGTAGAAACTGGGTTTCTCCATGTTGGTCAGGCTGGTCTAGAACTCCTGACCTCAAGTGATCCACCCACCTCGGCCTCCCAAAGTGCTGGGGTTACCAGGTGTGAGCCACTGTACCCGGCCAGGATTCTTACAAGCTCTGATCAATATAAATCTTTCTTTTATGTTTCTTTCAAGGCCTGGAGTAAAAATTTTTTTTTGTTAAAAGTTTTTTACAAAATATTTTTCCTGCCACATGCTCTGCATGATGATATTTCTATTTATTTGTAAAACTGTGGAATCTGCCAAATTGGACATTTCTATACCATAAGAATTCTTCTCTATGATGTGCTAACAGGATAACTTTTTTTCTCTCCCTCTTTCCCTCCTTCCTTCCCTCCCTCTTTCCCTCCCCTCCTTGTCCCTCATCTCTTTTTCTCTTTCTCTTTCTCTCTTTCCTTCCTTCCTTCCCTCCTTCCCTCCTTCCATCTTTCCCAAGACTCTTTTATAAAGTTTGATTAAAAAAGATAACATATTACATGATTATTAAAGGAGGTAATTTCATCATTTTATAAAAACCTTATATACTTGGTTATTTTAATTAAAAATGTTCGCATAGAATTTTCAGGTGCTTTTATTAATGTCTTGTTCTTTTTATAAAATGCTAAAATGTGTTATAATAAAAGTAAAACAGAATAAAATACAGTAAAATATTTACCTTGGAATACTTAAAATCCTCGATCAATATCAACTTTTTGTTATTTATTGACTAACTTTGAAATAAACTTCAAATATATGGTTATGCAACATGTATGATATTTTATTCTGAATTGTGTGAGAGTATGAGGCACATGTTATATGCTAAATAAAATGATGAAGTCTACATAATATTTTTTCCAAGGGTTATGGGACATTTTTCAAATACTACTTTTCTAGTGACAAAATTTATTCAGAGGATGAAAAGGTCAGAAGACAACATACTTGAGTAATTCAGTTATTACAAATCACTATTGGCCAATTACAATAACAAGACTATCTGCATCAACTTTTGAAAATTATAAATCCATTTTACATTCATTGCCTCATTTGGTTCTTACCACAATCTAGAGTTCTAAATGGGACAGATATGTTTTACTGATTTTAAAATTGCTCAGAGAAGATATTAAATACTTGTTTGCTCAATATCTTCAGTTAATGGAGGACCTGATATCTTCTCTCACTTAAGCTACAGACTTTCTTGGTACAAAGTTCCTACTGATAGGACAGTTTGTTATACTCATGGCATCCTTGACATTAGCAGTGGAATGAAATGTAAAGATCTCAGAAATAAATTTCACAAAGTTGGCTTTTGTGTAAATGTTATAGCAAATCAGATCAGTTTAAATCTTATTTCTGTTTTATAAAAATCTGACTGGCACAATTGGAAAATCGCCACAGTAGGAATAGGTTAAGCCTATGGGGAAAATTGCAATCACTCTGACATGTTCCTATGGATCCAACTAATCAATTGTGTCTATCAGATCCTAAGAATTCACCAAATGCTTGTTTTGTTTTGTGCTATACCCTAAAAGAACTCTGAGTCATTTGGTAGTAAATAAAATGTATAATTATTTACAAAGTATATATTTGAAATCCAAGAAAGTTCGTCAAATTGTCTTACTGGGAGAACACAGGATGAAACAGCGACTTTTCTCTTCTGCTAAAAGTCATCATATTTATTGTACAACTTCCATTATGACATTGATGAATATCATAATGAAAAAACATTCCAATAATAATGTCATTACTTTAACAAATGTAAGCATTCTAAATTTACATGTCTCCTATCAAACCCTGTCAATACATATGCATGATCTGAGTACTGTTAGATGACTTGCGTGGCTGCAATTTTATTGTCTGTCATTTTTTCTTTTTACTTGGTGTGATGTAAGACACATTTTTCAATTACTACTTCCCCTTCAAAATCCTGATTTTAATAGCTGATTTTTTTTTTTTACTTTTCCTTTTAAATGCATTGGTCATAAAACAAGCCTGGCAGAACTAGAGTTCGTTATGCTTTTAGGCCAAATACCTGCGATGAGTTTCACAATCTGTCATCTTATTTCAAACTTTATTCCTCTACCACCTCGAGTCCTTTTATAGTTTCATTTATTTTCATCTTGAAATCCTGCTTTTTCACTTTATTCTTTTTTCTTTCTTCCTCAGTTTTCCCAGGTGAGGTTATAAAACCAAACTCTGGTGAGCTGGACTACAGGAACATTTGGGGGATGGAGGGAAGAGGGAAGAGAAGAATGAGGAATATAGATCAGCCTAAGCAGCCTTTAGAGGCAAAAGGATACCTTTGCAACAGTTCCTTGACGTTCTGCTTCACTTTTTCAGAATAAGCAGCTTCTTACTTTCTAAGTGGTTCTGTAAATCTTTCCAATCAACAGCAGTGCTGTTTGTTATCCTGCTTCACACAGAATCAAATGTGTGCTATTCTTCCCTAAAATAACTCTTGGCAGATTTCCCCTGATTGCTCCTGAATTCCAAATTATTATTTGCATCCATATAGTTGGGATTTTCCATTAACAAGACTTCTTACTTTAATTATTTATACACCATTTAAAAAATCCCTGATTCATATTTTGGTTCTCATTAAATAAAATTAATTAAATTAGATCATTTTCCCCCCAGAAAAAGTAAATGTGATTAAGCTGCAAGAGAGAAAAATAATAACAAATTTTTTCTCTAACCTCTTAAGTTTAGTGGTTGGGACCCTGCAAATTAGACTAACAAGACAGATTAACAGGAGTAAAGTTTCATTCTTACATCTGCATACAGAGGGCTTCATAGAAAAACAAAGACCATAGTCAGGCGCGGTGGCTCATGCCTGTAATCCCAGCACTTTGGGAGGTCAAGGCAGGTGGATTATTTGAGGTCAGGAGTTCAAGGCCAGCCTGATGAACAAGGTGAAACCTGTTTCTACTAAAACTACAAAACTTAGCCAGATGTGGTGGTGTGTACCTGCAGTCCCAGCTACTTGGGAGGCTGAGGCAAGAGTATTACTTCAAATGAGATCACACCACTGCACTCCAGGTGACAGAGCAAGACTCTGTGTCAAAAAGAAAAGACCCCAAAAAGCAGCTAGCCCTGAGAGCTTATATAATTTTTAATTAAAGAAAAATTGTCTTGTCTCCAAAATTCAATAAATTCAATGAATTGTGGAGACAAAACAACAGAAAACTGTGGAGAAGTCAGTAGGAAATATATGAAGGAAGTTGGCGGAAGATAAAGATTATTTTAATAAGATTTGTTTGCAGACCCGTCTCAGTGCCAACTTTCAGCTTTTATGGCCACAAAACTTTCCTGGGAGGAGAGACTTCTGGTAAACTTTGTTTCTCAGATGGCATCTCGCTGTATCTGTTGATTCTCATTTGCCTTCAGCTCAAAGTAATCTTTATGCAAAAACGGCATATTTTGGGGTGGTATATTCTGAGCCACATCAAAGATTTCAGAAAAAAATTCTCTATCTCTAATTGAATAGTTGGGTGGTCTTACTTTGTTGAGTGCTCTTCATGGTACTTAGCTTATTCCTCTATAGAAGACCTTCTTAATCACTGTTAATAGAAAGACATACTTGAGTATTCTGTGTGCTAAATGTTCTTATAACACTTGTTAAGGATTCAATAAACATCATTCTTGTTCCATTTAGCCTACATTTATTGAACATCTACCATGTGTGAATTCAGCATACCCTAATAATAAAAAAATGAATAATATGACTAACACAAGATGCATGTCCTAGAAAAGCTTCCACGTAGGGAGTGTAAATATGTCTGGGGATTGCACATTAAATGAATATGTTAATATTTCATAAATAAGGCCAAATAGTGAAATGGGAAGGATGCAGGGAAAGTTTTCCAGATGCAGAAAGCACAAAAATAACTTTGACAGATTTGTGCACTTTTATGTTTTTTATTTATTTACTTTTACTTCATCTGAAATTCCAACAAATGTTCAGCCCTGCAATGCATACAGACTCAACATTTTCATTGCTGAGAAAGTTTATGATCATTTCCAATCCACCATTCTTCAACTCACCCTCCCTGACCTTCATTTAACACAGAGAATCAGAGCCTGGCAGTACCTTGGGAGAGAGAGGTGCCAGTGCCCTCTTCACGTAGCTCTGTGTGAATATAGAGGAGATTAAATTCTATAACAAAGAAATGATGTCATTTTTCTTGTACCAGGTTTTAGAACACATTTTCTATCATGTGTGTAATAAATCTGAAATCTAAATTGTCCATTACAACTTTATATTCCTTTAAGCTAGTCCTACCCATTCACATTTGTTATGCATAGTAACTAGAAAAGCTGTACAAATTTCACTTCTATTTTCGACAATAACTTAAGACTCTTGTGGATGCACTACCATCAATACTACTTGGCAAATTAGTAAAATTTGAGTCCCATTTGAAATCCTACTTCTGTCTCCTTAGATTAGTCACCTAATTGTGACTTTCCTGAGACTCCCCGTTCATTTTCAAAGTGCTATGTTCTATTCTCCACCATAGTTTCCCTTGTTGTGGATGCCTGAGATTAAGCCTGTTCAGCCATGATGAGGCTGACTCCAACCTTGCAAAGATTACTTTTGTCTTATTTCCATGCTTGTGATGCATATAATTAAATTAAGCCCTAGGTACAAGCTATAACTCTCCTCAGAAGTAAAACACTGAGTAGATTAAGGTGGTGTTTTCACAAATCTAAATATGTGATAAAAATTTCACAGAACTGCAGACACACACACACACACACACACACACACACACACACACACAGAAGTGAATGCATGCAAAAACTGGTGAATCCTGAATACGTTTTGTAATCTAGTTCTTAGTATTTTGCCAGTATTAATGTCCTGATATTGATAATGTACTATTAGAGAAAGGTGATAGAGGTTAAGCAAACCTCACCTCACCATAGTCATTAAGAAAAGGAAGCCGGAGGCGGTGGCTCACGCCTGTAATCCCAGCAGTTTGGGAGGCCGAAGCGGGTGGATCTCGAGGTCAGGAGATCGAGACCATCCTGGCTAACAAGGTGAAACCCCGTCTCTGCTAAACACACACACACACACACACACACACAAAAGAATTAGCCAGGCGTGGTGGCGGGTGCCTGCAGTCCCAGCTACTCGGGAGGCTGAGGCAGGAGAATGGCGTGAACCCGGGAGGCGGAGCTTGCAGTGAGCCAAGATTGCAAGCCACTGCACTGCAGCCTGGGCCACAGAGCAAGACTCTGTCTCAAAAAAAAAAAAAAAAAAAAAAAAAAAAAGAGGAACTACGTTTTCAGATGATTGGGATTCAAATCCAGCTGTATAATTTAATAGCAATATGAATTTGAGCAAGCTCTTTTAGGATTTTAAATCTGAAATCTTCAATTCTAAAACTGGGATAAAATACTGTCTATTTCTCAGGAAGACTGAGAATCGAATAAAATAATGAATGCAGAGAATGTGACATAGACCTTGGCACATAGTAAAAGCTCAACTAATCTTTCTTTAAATTGTTTAGCATAATGATGAGGTTGGAAGTAAGAGTCAACTAATAAACTCTGTAGAATATGTATTTCTCTTTGAAATCCAGCCAGTACACACTATTTCTGTTGAATCTCCCTGGTTATTTTAAAGAAAACTGTGCATGAACTCAGTGCCCTTTGAAATGACTTCAGTGCAATTTGTGTTATATTGCAATACAGAAAACATAACTACAATTTCTACTGAAAATCAGATTTACACAGGAAAAAACGGTTAGTTCTTCAGTGTTTCTACATAGTCCTATTTCCATTTTTCTTATGTGCATTTGGATTATGATTTTATGCTAACACCCAGAGATTATTTTAGTCTGATCTCCTGAGAATAATCTGTGAGGTATAAGATCCAAACTTTTAAACAAGGGGATCAACTTCTCAAAAAACTTCTTGGACTTTAATTGGCATTCCATTTCTTAAAAAGTGACTTTATTCTCTAATGGCAAGCATGTGAAAGGTTACAATGGCAATATGATAAAGCTGTAGCACACATATATTACTTTCAGTGAATAGGCAGTTTTCATAGTATGTCTACATATAAATCTACACTTGTCTTCTGACAGACTTGCAGGAAAACAAATCCAGATGTCAAAAAAATGACAGAATAGTTGCTAAAACAATTTCTTAAATGATTCTGTTAAAAGAGGGTTTGGGACTCACAAAAATCCAACAGAAACCTGGTTCAGGAATGCCACTTATAGTGACAAAGACATCAATGTCATTTGAAAAACTAATTTATCTAAGAAAAAGTGTCTAAGAAAATGTAGATTATTTGCTACTGTATGAATATTACATTCAGCATGTAGGAGAAGAAAAAATCATGCACCTTAATTTTGTGAGGAAGCCCCATTTTCACTATTCTCTCTTTTTGTTTTTCTAAGTCTCAGATGCTTCCAGAAGCAAGCTTAAGAACTCAGATAGAAAAATCACAATAAGGGCTGGGCGCAGTGGCTCACACCTGTATTCCCAGCACTTTGGGAGGCTGAGACAGGTGGATCACGAGGTCAGGAGATCGAGACCATCCTGGCTAACAAGGTGAAACCCCGTCTTTACTAAAAATACAAAAAATTAGCCGAGTATGGTGGTGGGCACCTGTAGTCCCAGCTACTCGGGAGGCTGAGGCAGGAGAATGGCGTGAACCCGGGAGGCGGAGCTTGCAGTGATCCGAGATCAGGCCAATGCATTCCAGCCTGGGTGACACAGCGAGACTCCATCTCAAAAAAAAAAAAAGAAAAAGAAAACAAAAATCACAATAAGAACAAAAGAACAATGAAAATGTTTGACTAGGAAAGTAAATAATGAAAATGTTTGACTAGGAAAGTAAAAGATTATAATATCCATACAGCTGGATTATCATTTAGTCATTTATATATGACTTTTAAAAAGTACAAAATTATAATAAAAAGCCAAAGAAAAAGGATTGAAAAGCATTTGTTGGGTATGTGTGCATGTATAAATTATTTTAATATTTTAGAAAAAAAAGTATATAGAGAATAGACATGACAAGTGTATTTAAAATGTTATCAGTGTTGAAGTTCGGGGAAATTTAGAGGCTTTTTATCTCTCAACTGTTGGTTCCATAGAAGGGGCACACATTACCTTGAAGGCATACACATCCATAGACACACATGTATATGTATATTTAAAACCAAAACTACTGCTACTGAAGAAAAACTGAAGATAGGAAAGTACAATCAATTCTTCTACGTGCTTCTGAAGGTGGCCCCACTTCCTACTCATCAGACTCATGGTTAGCTAATCCCTTTATTAGGGATTTTTCTTTTCAGCTGTAAAGCCTTCAAGCCCATCACTAAAACTCTAAGATTTTGACCTCTGCTATCCTTTTAGTTACTCACTGCCTCTCATTTGAAAACTACTTTCATGTCTTTGGCTTTTAGTAAAATTCTTTTCAATGATCCTATTCTATTGTAATACGATGTAGAGCTCTGTATCTGTTCTGTTTTATTTTGTTTCTTGGTGAGAATGGGGATATGGCACATGCACATTCACTGTTTGCTTCCAATATACCAGTCATTGAGCCTATATATCAGGTGGAGAACTATGAATACATTATGGTCTCTGCCTCAAAGAGCTGACAAACCAGGAGGAGACAGAAACCAAAACAGATAATTTCTTTGTTTTCTTTTTTTAAAACAGATAATTTTAATATCAAAACACAGGAAGGCCTAGAGGCAAAATAGAGTGGGAAGGGAATGATCATACGTTGTTACTGAGTACCCACTGTTAATCAAAAGCAGACACTACCTATCAGAAATCTTGCAACCCATCTTCCCTTGCAATGAGTTCTGCCTCTTGATTATCCAGGGTCATTCATTTTCCCCACATACTCAACCACCACCTCTCTCTAATATATCTCTTTGGAGACTAGAGTTCTCAGTAATGCAACCCTAACATGGGAAATGGTAAGCAGGCAAGGGCGTGTCAGACCGAGGAGGGATCAGGCCATGAAACATTGCCCTTTGAATTTTGTAGCTTGTGCTGCAGTGCTTCTGGCAAAGAGAAAACTACACGTTATTGCGAAGTATTTAGAAATGAATGTTTTTTAACGGTAAACTTTCTAGGCAATAGGAATAATAAAATCTTTCATAACAGAAGACAGAGTGCAATCAAACACCAAAACTTTGGAGTCAGTGGAAATAAACTACCCACCTTAAAATGAGGAAGATATGAACAGAACCAAGATGCACTACTGTGAGATGGCCTGTAAAGAATATCCAAATTATTTTTGTAGTAAGTATTGAGCTTGCAAATACTTCTCTGTTCAAGATGTGCTAAATTTTAAGGGTGTATTGTTCTCCACGTATTTTTATTATATCAACTTTATTAATAAAGTCATTGATTTGTGCTACAAAAATAGGTTTCCCATACTTGCATTTTTAGAAAATTTCTCCTAAAGCATCAGCATATTTTATTTATATGGCATCATTATGTTATTTGGCATATAAAATTTAAAGATTACTAGTTTTTTAATCATTAACTTATTTGCAATATAAAATGAGACTTTTATCCCAATGTATTTTTTCAAGTCTACTTTGTCTGCTAGTAATAATTCAATTTCTCATTTCTTTTTGTTTGTTGATATTTTCTGAACATATTTTTCGTTCTCCTGTGTTATTAGTTTCGTATTAATAATGTAAACTTTAGTAGTCTGTTACATTGGTGGACTCTAATAAATGATTTCTTCCTGTATTCATGTCCTTGTGTAGTCCTCTCCCGTTGATTCTGGGCTAAGCATGAGAACTGCTGTAACCAATAGAGGGAGGTGGAAATGTAAGTTCCATCCCTAAGGTTTAAGACTTAGAAGTTTCTGATTTTTGTCTCTTGAGGAAAGCCAGATTTTTAAGTACCCTGAGACTATCATGCCCGAGAAGCCCAAATTAACCATATGAAGAGGCTACTGGACAAGATCCAAGAGATACAGACAATGTAAATCACAAGACCCAGACGCATGATCACTGCAGATGCATCTGAACTGGCCCCAGCAATTCGAGTTACCCCAATTGCTGCCTTGTGAAACAGAGACAAACCCATCCTCACTGTGCCTTCCCTCAATTTCTTACCCTCAAATTTGTGAGCAAGTAAATTGGCTCCTGCTCCAAGAATCATCTACAAAAATAGGGGTATTACTCATTTCAATTTTAAAAAAGCCTAGGAAAAATAAAATATGTGAATACAACTATGTGTTAATAAGATTAAGCAAAATAAAATCCAGAAACAAGTTCAAAGTGTTAAACTCATTTATTATTGAAAACAAATGTTTAAAACAAGTATCATTCCACAATGAGATCTGCCATACCCACTAAAATTCCTAAAATAAAAAAAGACAATATGAAATGTGAGTGTGCATGTGAAACACATGAAACTTTCATACATTGCTGGTGTGAGTATAGGAAGGTACAGTGCCTTTAGAAGACTGTTTTAGCTTTCTTATGAAGTTGAACACTCATTTTCCCTTTGAATCTTCTTTTTAACTAACAACCAATTCATTGGTTCTTATCAAAAGAGGAATGAATGCACGTGTCCACCAAAAATGACTTCTACAAAAATGTTTATCGCAGCCTTCTTCATTGCAGCCGAAACACTTAATAACGCAAATGGGTTAGCCACTGGAAAATGGAGAAACAAATTCCAGTCTATTAACAGAATGAAATACTACTCATCAAAAAAAAGAAACAAGCAACTGATTTATGTAACAACAAAGAAGAATCTCAAACACATCATGTGAATGAAAGAAGCAAAGGTGCACCTGATTCTGTTGATAGGAAGTAGAAGGATGGGCAAAAACAATCTACGATAATAGAATCAGAAAGTTGTGGCCTAGAAGCTGAGAAATGGTGAGGCTGACTATAAGAAGGCATCCTGGTCATGGAAATGTTCTAAATTCTAATTTGGGTGGTAGTTATTTGGAAGTATTCAACTGCCAAAACTTATCATCTTCACTTAGGAGCTGTGCATTTTACTGTATACAAATTATCCCTCAATGAAAAATCTTAATACAAAGATAGAGAAAATAAGTTCTGATGTGCTATGGCACAAGTAGGATGACTGTGGTTAAAAATACTACACTGTGTATTTCAAAATAGCTAGAAGAGAGGATTTAGAATGTTCTCACCTTACCACACACACACACATACACACACAAATGTATGATAATAGATATGCTAAATACCCTGATTTGACAATTACATAGTATGTACATGAGACCATCCTGGCTAACACGGTGAAACCCCGTCTCTACTAATAATACAAAACAAAGCAAAACAAAATTAGCCACGCATAGTGGTGGGTGCCTGTAGTCCCAGCTACTTGGGAGGCTGAGGCAGGAGAATGTCATGAACCCGGGAGGCGGAGCTTGCAGTGAGCCGAGATCACGCCACTGTACTCCAGCCTGGGCGACAGAATGAGACTCCATCAAAAAAAAAAAAAAAAAAAATTACACTCTACTGCATAAATACGTACTATTATTACACATGTCAATTAAAAAGAGTCCCACTAAAGCACTGGGAATAAAAAAGAAATCATGTGTTTTTGTAATTTATAAAAGTGAGGAATAGATTCTCAGTAAATTAGTAAATAAAAAGCAACAATTTTAAAAACAAAAACCTGAAGCACAGCAAGAAGAAGAAATTTTTTTAAATAAAAAACTTCCGTAAGGAACAGAAATAGTAGTTTTCAAACTTGGGTGAACATCTAAATAACCCAGAGGACTTAGTAAACTACAAAATGTGGGCCCCACTCTTGAAGTTTCTAATTTGGTTTGTCTGGAGTGGGACTTCAGATTTGGCATTTCTTACAAGTTATTCGTTATTGTTGCTGTTTTTTAAGACACATACTCTCCCTCTGTCCCAGGCTGGAATGCAGTGACATGATCATAACTCACTACAGCTACGAACTCCTGGGCTTAAAGCCATCATCCTCCTGCCTCAGCCTCCAGAGTAGCCAGGACTACAGGTGTTTGCCACCATGCCCAGCTAATTTTTAATTTTTTTGTAGAGATGGGGTCTTGCTATATTGCCCAGGCTGGTCTCGAACTCCTAGGCTCAAGCAATCCTCCCACCTTCGCCTCCCAAGGTGCTAGGAACAGGTGTGAGCCACCGTGCTCAGACCTCCTCACAAGTCATAAGTGATACTGGTGTTACTGGTCTTGTATTTATATGCTGGAGCTACTGAATAAGAAAATAGAAAAATAATAAAGATAATACAACTGAGTATAATTCAAATATCCGGAGAAGAACATCAGATAAAATGTAAATTTTCAAAACTTAGAGAAAAATAACATCTAGTCCCAGATTTTAAGAATTGTAAAAATATCAGATGAAACAGATGCATTCTTAGATTTTAAAATATGGGAGGAATACATGACACTTCAACTTTATTCAAGAGAAATTACCCAGAACTTATCCTAAAAGTCATCAGGTAATGCTAAATATTCGAAGCTAATGACCATTATTTTCAAAAAGGGTATTGACAATGACAGCCAATTATCATCCAGTATTGCCCTGGACATTTTAGCCAGTGGAACATGTCAAAAAACAGAAGCATTAACATACAAATGTTAGAAATTACCACTAAGAAGGTACAATTAATTCCAGATTGTATGGTTGTATTCCACATACAGAAACAAAACGTATAGATGGAAAAAACAGAAAAAAAAATGTGATATTTCCTATCTGCAAGTTCGTTATTATTCCCGCCTGTCTGTCAGCATTTAGATATTTAGTTATTGTCAACAAAACTGCAGCCTGGAGAGACCACTGTGATATACATCACAGACCTGAAACACATTCCTCAAAATTTCACGTTTTAATATTTTCAAGGGTCCTGGAAAATTCTATCCCGTCTTTTACATGTATTCAACCACCAAGTCTCATTGAATATACATTTCCACTGAAGCTTGTCATTTTATCCCTTATCCTCTCTTATGTGCACAATTATACTTACCTCCTAACCGATGTTTTGCCTTTAACGTCCCTTGCCTTGAATCCATCCTCCTCACAAGTCAGTAAACACAGATCTGGCCACAGCATCCCCCAACTTCTGACCAAACACTGTAGCATTGCCTATACATTTATCTTACTAACATATTTTCTGTTTCAAAATTTGATAACATGGGGTCATACACAAATCAAAAGTCAGGCTCCCCTTCTCTTGTAATCTTGTATTTATCTTATTAGAATGATAGATCAATAGACAGATGAATAGACAGATAGGCAGACATGTATAATGTAAAATATATGATTAAATTAAATGTCCCTTTTATGTTCCCTGATTTTCTAGATGCAAAACTGTGTGTTTAGCAAGAATTCCTGGAGGAGATCATTAATAGCTATGTCAACAATCTGTAAGAATTTTTTTAAATAAGGAGTTAGAAAACCTGATAAAATTGTTTTACATTGGACACAGAAATCCTTGGATCTTTAAGAGACTTTATATATGTGTGTGTGTGTATACACTTTATATATGTGTGTGTGTATGTGTGTGTATATACTTTATATATGCGTTTGTGTGTATACACATACAAACAACCTGCTATCCTTCCTACAATCCATATGTATTTATGAGCAACAATTCTGTACTTTTGAACATAGCACCCTTGTTTAGAACAGTAGTTCTTAACCTTGCCTTTACATTTGATTATCCTAGGGAGTTCTAAAAAACATTGATGCCTGAATCCCATCTCTATAGATTTTGCTTTAATTGTTTTGGCCTGTGGCTTTGACCTTAGGAATTTTAAAGACTGGATGATATGATTGTGTTGCTAAGCTTGAGAACCACTGCTTTAGGATCTTGCTTCTTAAAATCCTTGAAAATAGAGTGTATAAATTCTTAAAGATATTTAAATTGGTGTGAACTGCCATATTTAAGAAATAAAAGTCATGACCAAGAAGTCTCTAGATATCAAAATATCTTCAAGAGCATAAGGCAAATGTCAACTCTGGTGTGTTGCATAAAAGCAGACTAAGGTGCTACTCACAAACTCTCTCATTTGCCTCTTTTGTGGCTTTCTCTGATTTCCAATGAAGCCACAGAGATTACATGGAGGTGAGGGAGAAAGTTTGGTGTCCTCAGTCATCTGGGAGGACTAACTGAGCAAGCCTATACAACACACAACAGAATAAATGAACAGTAAATATCAGTTGACATCTCTCTAATCTCCATCAAAAACTGTGTAATCAATATGTGACGCATCAGCCGGGCATGGTGGCTCACTCCTGTAATCCTAGCACTTTGGGAGGCCGAGGTGGACGGATTGCCTTAGCTCAGGAGTTCAAGATCAGCCTGGAAAACATGGTGAAACCATGTTTCTACTAAAAATACAAAAACAACAACAACAACATAGCCAGGCATGGTGGTATGTGCCTGTAATCTCAGCTACTCATGAGGCTGAGGCACGAGAATTTCTTGAACCCAGGAGGCGGAGGTTGCAGTGATCCCAGGTTGTGCCATTGCACTCCAGCCTGGGTGACAGAGCAAGACTCTGTCTCAGAAAAAAAAAAGAAAAAAGAAAATATGTGACACATCTCTGTTGGGAAATGTCCTTTTGGGATGTCCCTAGAGCAGGAGTCTGCAAACCATGGCCCATGGAGCCGAATTCAGCCCACCCCTTGTTTTAGTACAGCCTTTGAGCTAAGAATAGTTTTTTAACAATATTATGAGGTGGTTGAAAAAAATCAAAAGTTGGCTAATTACATGAAATTCCAATACCAGTGTTTATAAATAAAGTTTTATTTGAACAAAGGCATGCCCATTTCTCTCCCTATTGTGTATTGCTTCTCCAGTGCTACAGTGACAGAGTACAGGCATTATGACAGAGACTATATGGCTCGCGAAGCCTAAGTTACTTATTATGAGTTCCTTTACAGAGTAACTCTGATGACCACTGATCTAAAGATGTTTAGGAAATAGCTGGTTTTCCCTAGAAATCAGTATCTAACACATTTATCCTATTCTGCCCTTATTGTGCCAAAAAGAAATCAAGCAATTAAAGAGTAGTAACTGCCACTCTCAATTTGAGCAAAATAAAGTTGATGAGCTAACAACAAAATTTCAAAGAAGAAAAAAGTCAGCATAATTTGTCTTTCAAAATAAAACAAACAAATATAAAATCTTCAATAAATTAGCATACCTATTCAGATAAAAGCATCAGAATCTGGGCACTAAGAATATCTTTCTGCTAGCAAATATATTGTTTGGCAAATGGACCAAAAATATATCTAAAAAACAAACTAGAAACTGAAATAGCCTAGATAGAAGGTACAGATAATCATACTAATAAAGAGAACACCTTTTAGAAAAAGAATTCTTATTTGGTATTGATGGACACGTGTATAACATTTTATTGGACAGAAATATAATGGATTATCTAAATTAAGTCTAGACGTCAAAAACTATTTCACATTCTTCTCGCAGGTAAATCCATTAATAAGAAACATTATTGACACAGAGAATTAAAACTTCTGATTTTGCAGCAACGCCCCATCTCAGCTGATTCCAAATGGATATGGGCGTTGCTGAGTCATATGTATTTTACTGATATCCTAGATTCATGTGTGCAACACATACTGAAGAACTGTGGTAGATAGCACTTGGCAAATTAATTCTTGAAGACATAAGATCAAGTCTTAAATCTATCACTCTGTAGCTTTTTACTTGTAGCAAGTTACCTAGCCTATCCATTGAATTCACATATTTGCAAAATAGAGCTATCAAATGTACATGTGGTGAAAATGTACTAAGTTAAAAAGTAAAAATAAGAAATACGAGAAAATGTTCTATAGAGAGTAATAAATGCCATAATTTTAATTTAAAAACAAGGCAAATATCTTTTTAAAAATATTTTAAATATTGACAAAATAATTTCCCACCTGTGTATTTGTGGGTATCACTGATGGCAGAGAGGAAGCAGTGGAGCTATACACAGATGCCAGAGAGCCTACCTTTTCCAGACTGTGTCAAAAGACCTCCTTATCCTCTGCTTTATGAGTTGGGTTTGGTTAACAGCCCCAGCAGTAGACTAAAGAGAGGAAGAAAAGAAAAGCCTCAGGTATTCTTAAAGATTAAGTTTCATGGGTCAGCTTGGCTATGCTATGATGCTGAATTATTTGGTCCAACAATAGTCTAGATGTCACTGTGAAGGTATTTTGTAGATATAATTAACATATACCATCACCTGACTTTAAGTAAAGGAGGTGAGTATTGATAGTGTAGGTGGGCCTCATTCAATCTGTTGAAGGCCTTAAGAGCAAAAACTGAAGCTTCTTAAAGAAGGAATTCTGCCTCAAGACGGAACTATAGAAATTGTTTGAATACTCCAGCCTGCCAGCCTGCCCTATGCATTTCAGACTTAAGATTCTAATATCAACTCCTGTCTGAGTTTCCAGTCTGCCGTTCTGCCCTACACATTTAGGACTGCCTAGGCCCTGCAATCACATAAACCAATTCCTTAAAATAAATCGTGTGTGTGTGCGTGTGTGTGTGTGTAACTGTCTTAAATAATTCTTATAATTATCTCTATATCTATCTATCTATCTATTTTTCTATCTATCAAATACAAAGAGATATCTCCTACTGGTCTGTTTCTCTGGAGAACCTGGCCAATACAATATTGGTTCCACTGCTCTGACTCTTTTGCAAGGTCAATGCAGGCATTTCCATGCCTCCACCCTAGTCTCAGTTCCCATTTTGTGGCCCTCTTTACCTCTCTTCTCAATATGCACTTCCAGTTACTGCTTCCTCTCCTTTCCCTTTTAGCCCTGGTGGTGATAAGAGAGCGCACCTGTTCATAGTCCAGATATTCTGCATTATATCTTTTGAATTCCTTCCATCTTAGGCACACAGTTGTAAACGTCTCTTAATTTACTTCTCTTCTAAATATCCTAATTTGAGTATCTTTAGTTTTCCCACTTGAATCTGGACTGATACAGCACTTCACAGGTGGTCAGAATAAAATAAGAAAGTCTCCATAAAATGTTGAAAACAATGGCTGCCCTATATTAATGTCCTCAACAAAATGTTAGCCATCGTTAGCCTGATTGTGCTAGTTTAATCTTCATTGCAGTGGTTTCTCGACATTCAATTTCTGCACTGATAAATATTTTTAAACATGTTAAAAATCTCCCTCATCTTTTCTAGATCCTGTAGTCTTTCTCCAGGGGATGCCAGCAGCATCTTGGCAGTAATTCAAAAGCTGCAGTAGCCTCAGGGTCAAAGATTCTGCCTCTCCAGGGGCCGGGGTCACTTCGGCTGTTCAAGAAGGGCCAGTTCCCTCCAGGCAATGTGGGGGGAAAATTATCTTTTCAGAAGCAGGAACAGGGAAAAAAAACCTCAATTTTACTGAGATGAGAATGAAGGTGGTGTGCAATGATCCACTCTACTTTATTCAACAAACAACACAAGATAAACCATTTTGAGGAAGGAGATAAAATAATATTTTCATTTTGAGCCCCAGAAAATTTATTTTGTGCCAAAATATGGGACTTAGTAAAATAAATACATTCTCATATCTGTGAGGGAGTATCTGTGAATTCTTCTTCCTCATCCATGACTCTATCACAGCAACACGTACATCCCCACCTGCCTATCCAGGCTCTAGTAACCATTTTCCACACTGCAGCTACGACAGGCAGTCAGGCCGCTTTCCTGTTTCAATGTAGTTTAGAGAAAAATAATCAAAGCTCCTTACTCAGGTTGTAGCTTATCTAACTTCCAGCTAATCAGCAGCAAAAGACCCAAGAAGCTATTAAGCATAAATCCCTGCCTTGGGGGCTAGGGGATTCCCTAGGACCCCACATGCACAGTTAGATGTAAACTTCACCTGATAGTGAGCTTTTCCTCATTTTAATGCTAAAAATCATGCCTGGCAGTGGAGATTTAAAATGCCAATGTTGGCTGGGCACAGTGGCTTACTCCTGTAATCCTAGCACTTTGGGAGGCCAAGGAGGGTGAATCACGAGGTCAGGAGTTCGAGACCAGCCTGGCCAAGAGTGTGAAACCCTGTCTCTGCTAAAACATGCAAAAATTAGCCGAGTACGGTGGTGAGTTCCTGTAATCCCGGCTACTCAGGAGGCTGAAGCAGGAGAATCACTTGAACCCAGGAGGCAGAGGTTTCAGTAAGCCGAGATTGCACCACTGCACTCTAGCCTGGGAGACAGAGCAAGACTTCATCTCAAAATAAATGAATGAATGAATAAATAAAATGCCAATGTTACATGCAAAGTATGCAGAAGCCTGTGGAGCTACCGTGCAAGCGCTAAAGAAACCCCTCCTATAAAAACGTTGATGAAACCCTTTCCTGTAGAAAGGCCACTTAAAACTAAACCACCTACTATCCTCAGAGAACAGCCCATCCTTTTCCTTTTGTGGTGCTGGCTCCCTTGTGCACAAGCTCAATACAATTTAACTTTCACTTTGCTGCCATATCTGGTGATCTTTCTGATTCTAACCTGGGAGATTATAAGAACCCAGGGCACAATCCCGGTAACAACAAAGCTTGAGTCATGTTCCGAAACCAAGGATCTTCTCCTCAGCTTAACATTTGTTTCCATTGTTGACAGGATAAAATACAGGTTACTCAGCATGACCTCAAAATACATTTATAGCCTCATGTTCAATTCAACTCAATCACTTGGAGCTCTCTGGGCATCTGGGTGTATTTTATACTGTTATTATTTGGGATGTATGTTTGCTTAAATTTATTTCTCCCTTATCTTTGTAGATCTCCATGTGTCCATCCCTGGCTTATCTGTCCAGCTCATACTGTTGTTTCAAGTTTCAGTTAGGTCGAAAGGAAGCCTCATCTGTTCCCCAAATTTAAGTAGATACATATTTCTGTGTTACCATAGCTCAGGATCCTCAGCCTACCTTCCTGTACTATGCCTCATCCCATCCCTGAATATTATAATTGTTTTGGCATAGAGTCAGCTTTGGATAAAACCTTGGCCAATTAATGGACAAATAAACGAATGAAGAAACAGGGGAGCCAAGAAATGTAAATGAATATAGACTCTTCTTATCATTATGTTATTATCATTATTTTTTTTTTTTCTCTACCAAGCTGTTCAGTGGTAAAATTTTGAAAGCCTGGGGTGGGTCTGACAGCTTTCTCGTCTCAGTAAAAACCCCTCAACTCATACCGTTAGTCTCTAGCTAGTCCTCAGAATTCAACCAGCATTCCCTGAAAGCCCTCATTTGCATGTCTTTGTTCATGTTCTTCTTTAACCTGGTATTACTCGACATGCATCTTTCAAAGTCTATAGAAAAGCAATTCATCATTGGCCTTTACCATATTCTCTACTCACAATTAATCTCTATAAACTTTCTTATCCTATTAAATGTAGCTAATACTTGAGAGACGTGATACAATCTAATGACAATTAGATTTGAGTGACGACCTAGCCAACTTTGTAACTTTAACTGTGGAAAGTAGTTTGTTCTCTCTGAGCCTTTGGTTCTTCATCTGAAATGTGGTTACAATCTACTTATTTTGCCTCTGGGTTATTAAGACTACATGCAAATCGGTGTGTGAAATAAATTAGCACAACCCTGGCATATAGGGAGGTAATGAACATTTATTATACATATACTCCTTGAAATCAAATGATCCTAGAAATTTAATTGTCAATCTAGTATTAAATTTTGAAATAAATCTGCTTTTCATTTAAAATAATTAGCTATATAAAGTTTTACATTTTAAAATAAGCTTTACATTAATGATTCTTTATAAATGTCTTTTCTTTAAAAACAATGATATAGTAATTGTGTTGGCAGCCCAGCATTTTGGAAGTACTAGTCTCATTGAAATGCAATTGCCGTCTGCTTGCTATTCACACTTGATTCCCACTTGCTGCTTGACCTCTTTTAAATAGGGACATCCATTTTCATCTTTGAATTTATTTGTTTTATGAGGTCACTGACTGCATTAGCAATGTGTGTGACCAATGGGGAATGCTTATGACTGAGAAGGGCCAAATGAGGGAACAGCAGTTCAGCATCTTTAGGGCCCATGATGGGAAGAGGAAAAGAAGAGAGGAGACAGGAGAATAAAAAAAGAAATTAGGTTCTCAGCCAAATCCACAAAGAAGAGATTGAATCAATTTGTCTGGAACCTGATCAAAATGCAACAACCTTTAACCTTCAGCACATTTAGGGCAGAGTTTGCTGCAAAATTCCAAATGGCTTTGCTAGTAAAAGCAATAGCTGATTACGTAGCCACAGGTTTTGTTGTTGTTGTTGATTTCCAGTCATTTTTATTACTATAACAAACTGAAATTTCAAATATTAAAGTCAGGTTGTTCTTTATTTGAGAAGTAGAGAAAAAGAACACCAGAAATGAGACTTTCCATCTTTCTACTTACTATATTACAATATTTCAATGTACCCAACAATAAAATCTTACTTTTCCAATTTGGTAACAGGATAAAAAGCAAGGTGCTCTATCTGGGAAAAAGAATCAAAGGAAATCTGTTTGATAACAAATATATTCTATAGTTTCTATCTAAAACAAGCAAATAATTTGGTGATTATTTGGCAAATATGATTTATTTAAAAAGTGTATTGATGATACTCCAATGGATTTTATTTTGGTCTAGAAAATTCTGAAAGATTGCCTGCCTTAATCAAATCAATTAGGTAATTTCTAAAACATAGATTTATTTTTGAAACTATATATATTCTTGAAATTATCAAAGTTGTTTTGTTTTTGCATTTCAATTAATCATTGGCAAATTATTGTCAACAGCAGAAACCTTCTTTGGAAGAAAAATGGAAACCTTATATAAAACCTTATATAAAACCCAAATATGTGTGTGTGTGTGTGTGTGTGTGTGTGTGTGTGTGTGTGTGTATAAAATCAGAATTATATATATTTGTAATCAGAATATATATATATTCTTTTGTAATTAGAGCCATTTTAAATGAAATAAGGGAGAGTTCTTGAATTCGCATATGTGAAAACAATTAAAATTCTACTTCATGTCACTCTGAGTAAAGAATCCTAACCTAGAAATTCAACAAAGTTGTACAACAATGGAGCAAATTTAGAATGTTTAGACTTCTAGTCTAATGCCCTTTCTGAATATGTTCAAAAGGAAGTCCCTAGATAGAATGCATCAGGCTCACCTCGTGCACATGTCAAACATAAGCTACAGTTTCCTGAGCCCCATCTTAGATTCACTGAATCAAAATCATCCACGGCCCAGGATTTTATTAGGTCTCAATATTATTCTTAGTGTACTTTGAAAATTAGGAAACAGTCTTCTTTTTACTCCAACAGAGTCTCCTTTAATCCTTTTTGAATGTTTTGTAGGCATTGCATTAAACTTGCTTTCTTTCATCTATTTACTTATTTCACTATTTTGTAATACTTATTATGTGTTGGGTATTGATTGTACTACGTGCTGGTCATACAATATTAAGCAAAACATTCAAGGCCTCTTCTTTCATGAGGAATTAAGTAGACCGAACATTAATGAAGCTACTCAAACAGTTTGACAGGTAACCAGTAAGGCTGTTGCAATATTCTTCCTGATAAAGGAACAATTAGAAGCAGTATGTTAAATTGTAGCACTTACCTAATGGTGGTCTCCCTTCCCTAGAATTTCCTGAGATAATTTGCAGTAGTTTACATGGTGGTATGTTAATATGCCTTTTATTTCTAGTAATTCCCCATTGATTTTTTTTTTCTTTGTTTCTTCCTCTTTTTTTTATCACCACCAAGAACTTCTGTTTCTTGGTCGCAGTGGCACTACATGAGTTACCATGGTAACAATGCGTTTTGGAGGATAACAAAAGTAAATATGCATGTACTATGTCAGCACATCAGTTGCTAATTCCTGGAGGAGGGCTGAAATTGTGTTTAGCAGGCTTTTGCTTTGAAAATGGTCCAAGTTTTGTTTTTAAATATATTTTCTTAATTGAATAGTTGCAGTTTATTAATTAGAGTCAAGAAAGACGCTTTTTAACAGCCATGTAGAAAGGGTCAGAGAGAATAAAATGTATCCTTTAAAGACAAACATGATTTAATGAATTTGGTAGAAGGGACTAAATTAGTCATGCTAAAAAAGATCAAAATGACATACAATATTGTGTACTCCAAAGAGACACTTTCATTGATTTCTTAAATTCGAGGAACAGAGACATAAATACAGTCAGTATTTATTTAGTATAACATTCTACATCAGAAAAACAGAATAAGATAATGTGCAAGCCCAAAGGATCCTGGGAAGCCATCCAAGTCCAAGGTAACACAGTGAGTGAGTGGTAAAGCTTGACCTTGAACTGATTCCTTCTCACTCAAAGTTCATTATTTCCCTCCATGAAACTTGGAGTGCTGCCTTTTAGCAAATAGGGTGTAATAACCAATGGTCCCATTCCCTGTTGTTTCCTTAGCTTGCTGCCATGGCCACCAGCTCATCACCTGTTACCTGCAATATTCCAACATGCTCCAAATTCTTTCCCCAGCCTTCTTTCCTGACCTCCCCAATCTATTGCCATACTTCTAGGGTAAAATGTCAAGTTTTCAAAGCACGTAGCATAGTGCAAACTGTTTGGTTTTGCTTTTCAAGGCATTTCCTATCGGGGACCCAACGTTGCGTTGTAGAATAATCTCCCACTGCTTCTCCAGTTAGCCCCTTGGTTCCACAGCTATCAAACTACTTGCTGCCCCTTGAACACTCCAGTTCTTTTTCCTGTTTCTATACTGTTGCTCAGCCAGTCCACTTTGCATAAGATGACCTAGCATGCCATGCCCTCATGCCACCCTTGGCATGCTAGAAACACTATACATTATTTGGCACACTGTATAGAGAACACCTTCTCTTCAGTATTTCTCTTGAATTAATCCACAGCACTAGCATAGCTAGCTGTTTTTGCTTTTCAGATTATATGGCATTTTTTACACCTCCTCTAAACATTTCACCATGTGGTAATTAGGGATTTACAGTTCCATCTTTTCCTCCTGACTGTGCTCAGGAGCAAGTACCATGTCTGACTCATTTTTTTGTGCCAGGGACAAGCACAGGACCTAGAACAAATCATGGTGAAGGATGGAGTGAATGGCCAGTGCTTCTGAGATGTAGCATTATTGTTCTTGACACCTGCCAAGCAGAAAATTGTACATAAAAACAAACAAAAATTCTTTTATTCTGTCTCTTGCAGCAGACCCCAGGAGGGTATGCTGATGGGTAAGAAATGAAATATTGCTTCACCTCCCGCCTCATGATCTAGTTATTTGTAACGGACCTATTCTCCCAAAGTAGAAGTTACTGCAGACCTGTATTGAAATACTCAAAGGAATGACTGGCTTTGCTCTTTGTATAATTTGCATTACTACACAACTGCATTGGTAAAGCACTTCTCATACAAAAAACAGTTTACTGACTATTTTTATAGGTCCAAATTATGTCATTTGGAATCACACACTTTAAATTTCCTTCTTCTTCCACATAAACACATTTTAGTTCTGCATTCATCTTAATCTTATCTATTGTCCAGACTATACTCTTAGCCCCATCAACTCTTTATCATTGGGCATAATATCTAGCTCATTCACCACTCTGATTGCACTCTCTGTAAGCAACCCATTTGGCAATGTTTCCAGTGACTAATTACAGCTGCAATTATACGTTCTGAACATTTTCTTATTTGGTTTAAGAAAGAGAAATAGGGCCGGGCGCGGTGGCTCACTCCTGTAATCCCAGCACTTTGGGAGGCCGAGGTGGGTGGATCATGAGGTCAGGAGTTCGAGACCAGCCTAACCAACATGGTGAAATCCCATCTCTACTAAAACTACAAAAATTAGCCGAGCATGGTGGTGGGTGCCTGTAATCCCAGCTACTCAGGAGGCTGAGGCAGGAGAATCGCTTGAACCCAGGAGGTGGAGGTTGCAGTGAGCAGAGATCGTGCCATTGAACTCCAGCCTAGGTGAAGAGCAAGACTCTGTCTCAGAATAAATATACATTGTTTTGATGACAACATTATTAAATGATAATAAAAGCCAGGCTTTAATTTTTTTCTATCAGGGCCTATGCTAACTGTGTTACATATACTGTGTCATTCAAACCTCCAAGATACAATCTGAAGGAGATACACTGACCTAAGTTAACAGATGAGAAAACTGAGCCTCCTACACAAGTGTCTTGCCCAAGGCCGTAACATTCCGAGGATTCTAATTATATGCTGTTGAAACTATATGTTGTTTAACATACAGTTAAAACTATAAACTATATGCTGTTTTCACAGAAGATTGAAAGCAACTCCTAGACCTTCTTTGTTCTATTTACTGTATTTTTTTTTTTAATTATCAAAGCAAAGTCAAATATTGTGTTAAAATCATTAAATTACTATGCTATAGTTCCATTTCAGAGATTCAGGGGTATCACTGAAATCCAACAAGGATGTGGATATACAGGATTACACAGGTAAGAAATGTTATAAATGCCCAGAAGAATGAATTCTGTTTCCTCATACATTCTTGACTAGTATAGGTTTGGCGCAATACAGTTTGTATATGCTTTGTCTTCTGTGGCCAAGGCAACTTCAAGAAGCATATTGAAAAAATTATCATTTTGATTGTGCTACAAAATACATTTTTCATCTACAATATACAATGCTGAAGTGAAGACTGACCTATGAAAACTATTCCTGGAAATCTGATGATTGTTTCAGATGGAAGAGTTGAAAGATAATTTTGCAAACTGTAACTGCCCTGGAATTTTAAAAGTTTTGAGTCAACTTTGACTTCCTGAAGTATTTCACACTCAGAAGCAAGGAAATGATACTCTTAAACATTTATCCTTTGTTCAGACACAACGATGGCCTTCATCTCATAAAAATAAAGCACAGTTAATATTTACTTTCTTCAACTGAAAATTTATCTTTTCTTTTGAAACTCCAATTATTCTATCTGCAAAAGATGTAACTGAAGGCAATAAGTAAGTAAATAAATAAAGGTCAGAAACAAGGCTGAATACGCAGAAAGTCCCCTGGTAAGGTAAAACAAGGCATGAGATTTAGAATTGCTGCCTTCCAATGGAAATCTTTTAATAAGTTATAGAAGGTGGGTGAATGAGCAAAAATAAAAATAAAAAAGAATAAAACATAATAATCAATAATAATCATAAAGGAAAGAAAGGCAATAAAATAAACTGAAGGTTCTCTGTTTTTTCCCATTAAAACTAGGGCTAGCAAAAAAAATCATATATGATTGTACACTGATGTACATAAAATTCTACATTCCACTTCAGCAGATTCCAGATTTCCCAGAGCTTTCTGATATACTTTCGGGTGCGTGTTGTTTGTGTATGTGTATGTGCGTGTTTCAAGCTATTCCTTGCAGTAAAATATAAATACAGTTGTCTCTTGGTATCCATGAGAGATTGGTTCCAGGGACCCCCATGGATACCAAAATCTGAAGCTGCTCAAGTCCCTTATATAAAATGGTGCTGTATTTGCATGTAACCTACACATATCCTTCCATACACTTTAATCTCTAGATTACTTATTAAACCAAATAAAAATGTAAATACTATATATTTTAGGTTGGTGCGTAAGTAATTGAGGTTTTTGCTGTTACTTTAGTAGCAAAAAACACAATTACTTTTGCACCAACCTAATAGTGTTTATACATATTTTCATTGTATTAATTTTTATTTTTGTAGTACTTTTTTTTTTACTTTTTGAATATTTTCAATCTGCAATTGGTTGAACCTGCAGATACTGAAGGTCAACTGTATAAGTTTTATCATCCAGATTTTACATATAAGGGAATTAAAGGTCAGAAATGTATTGTAACATATTCAAGACCATCGAATCAACAAAGTTGGAGATTTGACTTTCATACCAGCTGATGTAACTGCATGCCTTCCCCATACACATTTTAAACTGTCAATTTTGTAGATGTGTGTATGTTTGTGTGTGGCTTTGTGTGTATGTGTGTGTGTGTTTGCAATGTGAGAATAAGAATTGATATACAACAAGCAACATTTTGTATTTTTCTTTTTTCAAAACAAACATACACAGAAGATCATTTAACCACTAATATGTTGGAAAGGTATTAATTTCAAATAGGATGCAGTTAAAGTGAATAAGGTATGTATTCACGATCATGTTATAGTAAACGTACACCACTATTCTACCTACTACTCACCACTTCCTGTCTCCTTGACCCCATTTTCTTATTCAGCCACTGCTGTGGCAGCCACTCTGCTGGAGAAGCTAGCGGTACCTCCTTGCAGTCTTAGTTTCCTATCTCCTGTGTCCCACCTCAGGGTTTCTCTGACAATAAGGCACAGAAATTCAGCACAAACTCACTCAGCACCCATGGCCCTGCAACTCGGAATCTCATGGATTTGAGAAGTGCCTGGATCAAGAATGCTTTCTAGCAGGTCCAGACTGTTACAGGCTGTGTCACCACATGACCTGGTCATTCAATAATGCTAGAGTTATCCAGGCTGGATAAGATTGGTGTGTGGAATCTCTGGAAAGCTCCAATAGGAGGTTCTTAGATGAGATTCCTAGGATCTGGAAAAAATCCATGCCTTCGACAGAGGAGAACACCTCAGAATCTGAAAAACAGCTCCCACCCTGATGCTGGGCCCTGGTAGAGACAGAGAGAGACTGAAAACGATGGAAATTAAGTGTCTACATGGACAAAGCTGCCCATCATGACTTGTCATGAGGCCGAGCAGGTGCAGCAGGGGTCCACCATGGAAAGCAATGGACATGTTATACACAGGCTGGGACCATACTGATTTGGAAGGTGAGCATAAATTATACAAAGATGTGGCCCCATCTTCCACATCAACTACCTGTGTCTCACCAGTGCTTCCCTCGACTCACATACCTCCCCAGCCAAAACCTTGTCTTTGTTTTTATCACCAACTAATGGAAGAGGAAAAAACTTAAACCTGGTTCACAAATGGGTAAGTGTGATTAGCTGGTGCAGGCCACAGAGGGACTGCTACTTTACCAAGGGCCACCCAGGGGTGTTGCCAAAGGACAGTGATGAAAAACTTTCCAATGAGTGAAGCTTCGTGTAGCATAGCTAGTGATCAATTTTTTATAAACAGGTAAGTGGCCTGGGGTGAGAATATACAGGGAGCCCCTGGTGAATGGTTGGCTGGTGAGTAAAAGACTGAGAAGGTGCAAGACTGATTGGGATTAGGAGAAAGGAATTTGGAAGAAAGGTATGCAAATGAACAAAGAGAAGGCAGCACAAAGTTCGAAAACATTTGTGTCACGTGTTAATGCTCACAGAGTATCCACTGAAGAGAAGGCATCCAGGTAAGACATGAATACAGCTCACCACACAAGTGTTAGTGCACGGGCCCATGAATGGAATGGCCTTAGCAGCAAGGATGAAGGCTAGAATGGACCATACACCCTGGGCTCCCTCCCAACAAGTATGACCAAATAACTGTTAGCCCTTAATGCCTAAAACAAGCAGCAGAGCCCAACATGATCCCTCAAGATGATACCCTCTCTTTAATGAACCAATAGTCATGTAATGACAGGATAATTACTGGAAATCTGCACTGAAGAAGACAGTCATTATTTACATAAAGGTTTGCCTTTTCTGTTTGCAGTGCCTATGGAAGCACTACCAACCAAATACTTGTCAAATTCCTAATGTTTTCATGACATTCTGCACAGCATGTCTTCAGACTAGGAGACAAGTTTGTGGCAACAAATGTGCAAAAATAAACCTGTGACTGTAACCCTCATTCATTACATAAAATTAGAAAACCTTGGTAGGGTTTAATGGCCTGTACCTGTCATCTCAGCACTTTGGGAGGCCAAGGTGGGAGAATCACTTGAGGCCAGAAGTTTGAGACCAGCCTTGGCAACAAAAGGGAGACCCCATCTCTACAAAAAAAAAATTAATTAGTCAGATGTGGTGGCACATATTCACAGTTCTGGGTACTCAGGAGGCTGAGGCAGAAGGATTATTTGAGCCCAAGAGTTTGAGGCTGCAGTGAGCTGTGATTGTGCCACTGCACTCCAGCTTTGGCAACACAGTAATACACAGTCTCTAAATTTTTTTTTGAAGTAGACAACCTCAAAGAATAGTGCAATAATACATTAAAGGTTTAGCCAAAGCACCAGCTAAGGAACAAGTCCTTGAAGGATTCAGATGCCACACTCCTATATGTGATATTTGCAGAATCAACAGCTCTAATGTATAGTCCAGAGAGGATAGAATACATAAGCTCAGGAACCAAATTGTGGAATCAGGAACAACTCTTTTTACCTTTATTCAGTTTGACCTAATTTTATTTATTTGACTCAATTAAGGAAAACATAAAAGTACGCTTTTCATCCTCATGACCTTAGGCAAAACTATATTAGTGTTCTTGATCTGGGATGAGTGGAGGGGATCACTTCCACCAGAAGAAACAATATGTTTTCCACTGAATTTGAAGCCAATGCTACCACCTAATCACCTTGACATTCTGTCAGTGGTCCAACAGGCAAGAAGTATTGCTATTCTGATAGAGGTAAATGCCTCTGATTAGAATGAGCCCCAGTCATGCCACTGGGTTGTCTTTTGGTGCTTCTGTACCTGGTAATGTTAAGGTATAGGAAATTATAGGAACCACAGCACAGCAAGAGCAAGTCAAACATGGGCTCAGACTTCTCCTTTCGGGTAAAGAGTCAGGGTGACCCAGCTCTAGGACTAACATCCTACAGCAGCAGAAATGCTGGGCAAAGGAGAGTGAAATGTAAGTGCTGGAGTAGACAGATAATGAATTTTGTCTCTCTATCAGCCACAGCAGTGGAGTTAGCAACTTGTTCTACCAAACCTTCTCTAATGTTTTGCAGAGCCTGGCTATATTAGTTTTGCATTACTACAAAGGAATACCTGAGACTGGTTAATTTATAAAGAAAAAAGGTTTAACTGGCTCATGCTTCTGCAGGCTGTACAGGAAGCATGGTGCCAGCATCTGCTCAGCTTCTGGTGAGGCCTCAGGGAGCTTTTACTTACGATGAAGGTGAAGCAGGAACAGGTGTGTCACATGGCAAGAGAGAGACTGGCCAAGTGAAAATGTGGGAGGAGACAGGCTCTTTTAAACAACCAGCTCTTGTTGAATTCATAGAACAAGAACTCACTCATTACCTGAGTATGGCACCAGGCCATTCATGAGGAAACCGCCTCCATGATCCAAACATCTCCCATCAGGCCCCACTTCTAGTACTGGGGAATCACATTTCAACATGAGATTTGCATAAGTATCCAAATTACATCAGCGGCCTTCCTGATAGCTACTCTAGGAGAGACTGAAGTCAATGAAGGATACAGGCCAATGTGAGTATTGCAAAGTGCGCTCTTCTTGAAAGCTCTTACTGTGGCCACTATTGAAGCAACCAAATTCATGCATGTTTCATTAGCTTCTCTGCAATGCAACTTTGTTTTAGACCAATGCCAAGGAATTCTTTCTTCCTATCCAGAGACTTCTTTGATTTCACCACATGGGATGCCCAAGAGAACTCTAATGATTTATGCTGGTGCGATACAGAAGTATATGGGAGTGAAAGCCTTGGGGATGTTTTGACCAATGCATGATGGAAGCTCATAACTAAATGCTATTCATTTTTGTGCTGAGCAGTCAGTTTTCTGAGAAATTTCACCAGCCTCCTCAGAATTTGTGACTCAGCATGAGTGGCACAAATAAATGACCAACAGTGCATATTTATTATGCATTATACATACGAAAAACCATATGTTATTGGTTTTCCTTCTTTCTTGGTTACATTACTAGGTTTTTTTACTCCTGTGCTCTGGGATTATTTCCCACACAGACCACCAGCTTGCAAGCCTTTCATATGAGGCTCTGATTTTAGGGAACTTAGATTAAAACACTTGTATTTAGAAGTGTCTTTTAAAAATTATGCATATATATTCATGCATAACTTTCATTTTGCTGTTGGCAGTGGAAACTTTATTATAGACTCCACTGTTTGTACTCCTAAGCTCTATCAGAGTATCTTCATTGAGAACTTGGCATTTGACATAGTCTCGGGTACATGTTGACTTTCAATAGAAGTTGGAATGGTGTTCTTTTGTGGACCAATCACATCCATTTTCCAAATGAGTTTCTCTGTCTTTTCTTAAATGGTGTACAAAAACATGTGGCTTATAAATATTAGGCTTTGGGTAAAAACTAATACTGTGGATTCAAGGGGAGTAGTATGGGCCTAGCCACTGTAAGAATTTTATCAGATCCTATTTCATTAGCTGATAATTGTGTGTGATCCTATGTACTTGGTGGATGTGTATTCAATCTCTCTTGCCCTGTACAACACTTTGAGTTAGCCATTATGATGAACATATCCAGAGTAACACATTTAAATGCAGAGATGGGATTTGAACCCAGACCTTTGGACTCCAAAGACTACATTTTTAAAATTATAATGTATTCTGCCTATCACTAGACCACATTCTATTCCAGCAGTCTAGCTGTGAGGCATATACAGGGATGTAGAGAAGGTCACAGTCAACACAGTCATGCCTGAAGGGTATAAAAAAGGCTTGTGCATCAGAAAAATTACATCACATTTCATTTGAATAACTTGCAGGTCGACATTTTATAAAGTATATAAAATGGCAATAAAAGATAATGGAGAAAATAAAGATAATTCATTTTCTCAGAGGCACTGATCATCAGGAAAGGCATATTTTCTTTTTCTCCTTTGTACCAAATGGGGGAATTTGTTCAATATTCTTAATTTACATAAAATATACAATGCAGTTAGACACCTTAAGTGCTCCTTGCATTTAGTTCATTACTATAAAATTGTTTCCAGAAAGGAGAAACTTCTCCGTGTATTTTATTTACATTTTTTCAAGTCCAACTTTGAAGCCATTGCATGAATAATTCATCGGGCTTGATGTTTAACGACTTTGTACAGGGTTTTTTATTTCAAATTTTCAGTTGGTGCACACGTTTGCCACAGACTTGTCAACAATCACTTGAGGATTCACCTACTTTCCCCCATAAAGCAAGAGCTGAAGCTCAAAAGAGTCTTTCCTCATTACACATGGGCATTAGCCATTTCATATCATACTGAATGGACTAGTCACGTTTGCCGTCTTCCTTTAATATTTACCGTGGAAGTCAATTAGGTTTCAGTCACAATGAAACAGTGGCTGTAATCCACACAGAAGCAGCTCAGTGGAGTGGAACAGTGCACGGAGAAAAGTAAGAATGCTGAAATAATGGATTTAATAAGGAAGTGACTGTAGAAGTACCGGAATGCTTTAGGAAGAGATGCCTCAGTGCTGGGCACAAGAAATTAAACAAGAGTGTGGCTCTAAGTTGCCTCATAATAGTCCAGCTGGACTGGACTTCAGATGATACTTGAGGGCTTTCTCCTGACATTTTAAAACTACGTACTATACCAGCTATAGTTACACAAAGTATCTTATAAAATGTCTTTAGGATTAGCAGTAATCACATCCATTTATAACACCAAAGGGCAACACGGAACAGTGGGAAAAAGCCTGGCTCCGCCTCCACTACACAGTAGCTACATAACCTTAGAAATTAAGTTGAGATATTTGATTCTTACTTTTCTCAGCTATAGCCCAGAGGTCATGAAAAACAATGTATTGAGTTATCGTGTTTTTTAAAAAAATGATTTATCTATGCAAAGCACTTCCTATTTTCCTGATATATAGAATGCTCAGAAATAAGAACTATAAATCTATAACTGCTAATTAGCATTTTATAAATCAAGTTTAAGGTAGGAAACAAATAATTTGAGGAAAAAAATTGGGATACACTGTATGAACCCTAAGAGAATATCATTCTTACAACTTAAGACAAGTACGTCTTAAACTAGGATACTTTAGCAGTATCCTAGTTTGATGTAGAAATTGTGTACAGTACATTTTGAAACAGAAATGTTCAGACTCCTACAAATATTGTGATCAAAGTCTGTAGAGGCCCAGGCACCCACATTTTTACAAAAGCCCTAAAGTAAGTCTTACAAATATTCAGTCTGTTTTTGTTTTTTGGTTTTTTTTAAACTTTTTAAATTTTTGAGACAGAGTCTCACTATGTCACCCAGGCTGGAATGCAGTGGTGCTATCTCGGCTCACTGCAACCTCCAGCTCCTGGGTTCAAGTGATTATCCCACCTCAGTCTCCCAAGTAGCTGGGATTACAGGTGCATACCCACCATGCCTGGCTAATTTTTGTATTTTGTTTTTAGTAGAGACGGGGTTTTATCATGTTCGTCAGGCTGGTCTCGAACTCCTGACCTCAAATGATCTGCCCTCCTCAGCTTCCCAAAGAGCTGGGATTACAGGAGTGACCCACTGCTCCCGGCCTTTACTCAGTCTTGAGAACAGCAGAAATAATCAATAGTAATAATTATAATTATAGTAATGATAGATGTTTTATTGAATTATAAATTGCTGGGGCCTATGCCAAGTAGTTTAAATATATTATCTCACTGAATCTTTCCAGTATTTCTGGTCACTTTATTAGTGGGTAAACTGAGGCTCACAGAGGTTAAGTAATTTGCTCATGACCTCAGAATTTGTGAGTGATTTAGATGATATTCACACCTGAATCTACCAAGTCCACAGATGGCAGCCATTCCTACTGGGTGTAACATGACCCTTGTTCCATGTTGGGATTTTTTCAGTGATACAGAGTTTGTTTTCAAGCTCTCCAGACTTGAGCAATGAGAACTAACACTAATCATGTGCTTGAGCTCTGTTGGCTTCAAGTACACCTTTTCATATTTAATATGTGCCCATCTCATTTGAATCCATGACAAAAAAAAAACAAGCTGGAGGAAATCTATGGGAAATCATATACATCATGTCTTAGTCCTTGAATCTGGAGCTTGTGGAATCTGGAGCTTAAGTGAAACTGATTTCAAATTAATATCTTTCAAACATGTTGATCTCTCTCTTGAAATATAAAATACTTAGCATTCTATTTACTTCTGCCTGATTATTTTTATATTTCCAAACTCAGTTCACTAATTACCTTGTCCGAGTAGTCTTCCCTGAACTCGCAAAAGAGTGGAAGTTTCCAGTGTTCTCATTATATCCTGCACCATACCTCTGACTTTGCACTCATCACACCATAATATTCTATTTCCCATTATGTTTTGAGCAAACTAGATACTTGCACATTGATGCTTTTAGAAAGAGGAAAGGAAGAGAAAATGGGTAAAAGGAAGGGAAACCTGGATTCATGAATGGAATATGTGAAAGAAAGACCTGTAAGTACTAAAGATAGTGATTTCTAGGAAGCTTTGAGAATCAGGATTAGGAATATAAAATGTATCATAAATGTGTACATTAAGTATAGACAATGCTATATATTTTTGTACGCTGCTAAATTTATTTTGCAGTGGTTCCTTTGAAAACATTAATATCCACCCATTTCACTTACTTGTGATGACACATTATCTGCTACTAGAATGAGCTATAAGGAATCAAAGCTTCTCTAAAAGCCAACAGTCTTTACAGAGGAGACAGACAACTGTGCAACTAAGCAGGACCTCCGATGGAGTTAAATGCCAATGTTTCATTAATCATAGAGTTCAGTTTAGCAGACTTACAGATGCTCAGGTATGGCAGGAAGCTGAAAGAGAGAACTGCAATTTTCTCTGGGGTCAACAATAAAGGAGAAGTTCTCTGATGTGAAAAGGGTAAAAGTTTTAGAGAAAGAAACATTCAGAGTTAAATCTCAATTCTGCTTCTTTTCTGGTGTGTGGTTTCTAGTAAGTTACCCAACTTCTTTTATCTACAGCTTGGTCTGCAGTAAAATGGACAGTAACACTTAAAAGCTTTTGTGAGGAGGGGAGACAATATTAGTTAAATAACAAGAATATATAGACAATCAGTAAGTGAAATCACTCTCTGTTAGTTGTTACATTAAATAATACTATCAGTCAACATCAGAATGTACTTTTGAATGTCCACTCCTGCCGTGTGAGTGTGTGTGTGTGTGTTTGTGTATGTGTGTGTGTGTGAGGGAGGGAGGGGAGATAAAGAAAAACAGAGAAGGAAAGAAAGAGAGAGAGAGAAACAGCTGGTCTAGTGTGTTTCTAAGCCACCCTGCATTCATATTTAATGATAATTCCATTTCACTTTTTCTAACTGCTGCACATTTTGAGTATGTGTGTGTGTGAGCGTGCACGTGTGTGAGACAGACAGAGAGAGAGAGAGAGAGAGAGATGTGTAAGCTAAATGAGATTGATGGAGAAGATGGATTCCTAAATTGTTGCTAATGGTCTAGACATTTCACTGTTTTGTCAACAAAGCCCTATTGTTGAAGGCAATGTTTTCTCACTATGTCAATATCTCTGCCATGTTGTGTTGATATTAATGGAACTGCCAGGAAAGGAATTTAATTAATCATTTCCCAGAATAACTACTGTCAGCATTCATCTCCTAGCTGAAGGCATTCAGCCCAGTGAGGAGGGTCTCTCAGCACATGTTCAGGCCCCTTAGTTGTGTGGTGAGAATATATTTGTATAAGGCTGGTTGAGATCCTGAGAAAGAAATTAAGTTTGGTCTCTCAGATCTATAAACAGGTTATGCTTTGTTCCACAAACATTTATTCAGATTACTCTACTGTGCCGCTACTTTGCAGGATATCGTAGCAACAGTTCTGCTCTATGATAGACCAGATAGGATAATTACTTGAATCTAGGAAGGACACAGCGTTTAATAATACCCTGTTTCTGGTTGGGTATGATAGCTCACGCCTATAGTCCCAGCACTTTGGGAGGCAGAAGCGGGTAGATCACTTGATGTCAGAAGTTAGGGACCAGTCTGGCCAACATGGTGAAACCCCACTTCTATTAAAAATACAAAAATTAGCTGGGCATGGTGGCGTGCATCTGAGGTCCCACCTACTTAGGAGCCTGAGGTGGAAGGAACCCTTAAACCTGGGAGTTGGAGGTTGCAGTGAACCAAGATGGTGTCACTGCACTCCAGCTTGGGTGACAGAGCAAGACTCCACCTTAAAAAAAAAAAAAAAAATTGTTTCCTCTAAAAAAAAAAAGTGCTTAAATCTTTAGTATATTTTACATTTTGAGAACTCAAAGAAGGAGGGTGAGAAGTGTGCTCTCTCTCTGCTTACTTTTTTTTTTTTTTTTTGAGGCGGAGTCTCACTGTCGCCCAGGCTGGAGTGAAGTGGCACGATCTCGGCTCACTGCAAGCTCCGCCTCCCAGGTTCACGCCATTCTCCTGCCTCAGCCTCCTAAGTAGCTGGGACTACAGGCGCCTGCCACCACGCCCGGCTAATTTTTTGTATTTTTAGTAGAAACAGGGTTTACCCGTGTTGGCCAGGATGGTCTCCATCTCCTGACCTCGTGATCCGCCCGCCTCGGCCTCCCAAAGTACTGGGATTACAGGCGTGAGCCACCGCGCCCGGCCTCTCTGCTTACTCTTTTATGCTTCAAGAGTAACTGATTGGGTTTCTTTGCAGAGTCCTGGCTGGGCCACGTTTATCAGTGGGTCTTGCTCTTCTTCCATCAGTGTGGTTGAATGCTCACTAAAAACAAGGACATGCCCTCCATGGGACAGGGTCTTTTCTACTTTATACCGTGTTATTCTCCTGGTTTTTGTCTTCTGCTCCTGGTGTAAATAAACAACAAGCTGCTAACATACAAAGTTTCAAATTTAAGCTTAGGATGAACAAGCCCCAAATTGGGGTGTGGGGTTTATATCCTTTTGGCAAGTATTATTTTGTTAGATAATAAGGCATATCCTCCAGCTCAGTTTACCAGAGCTCTGGATGAGGGTGTGAGGCAGATGCTCAACTAATCATAAATTAGTACCTTGATTTCATATTTTCTTTCATGTATCTTTCCCAGGGATTGTATGAGGAGGAGAGAAGATAGGCTAATACAGAGTTAGATATTACTGAATCAAGTGAATCCAATTGGATATCTTCCCAAACCTACCTTACCTCCCAAAAAGAGCTAAAATAACTAACTCTTGAAATGAAATTATCTCCCCCACACATTTCATCCAATTACAGGATCTATTTCTTCCTTACTAAAATTATTTTGTCTTAGTGTGAACTCTCTCATAAGTTAAAACCTTCACACAAACCCAAACATTTCCCAGAAGGAGACTGTTATATGTAAAGAGATTTATTAATTTGTGAAAAAACACTGAGAGCTCAGCTTTCATTATTTTCTATTTAAATCATTAAATATGGGCACATTTTTGTCATCTAGTGACTAGCAGCAGGATAGAAGGAAAATTTTCTTATACCATCTGTGAAAATAAATGCACACCCAGGTCCCACAATAAATATATGTATCTTTGAATAAAACTAAAATACACCCTATAAAAATAGATAAATGAAAGCAGCAATTGTTTCTGTGGTGACTGCTTCACCAAAGCTGTGTTTATTTTTCTGTCTGCTTTCAAATATTCTGAAATAATAAGAGAGTGATTCTCCAAAGCTTCAAGTTCCATATGTTTTTCTGTGATAACTAAACTCTGCGTGGAGATGAATGAATGCATGATGTTATACATTGGAATTTACTTGGCAAGAGCAGGAAAAGAAAGAAAGAGTCAGTTTAATGTTTCTAATTGTCTGCGGAGCTGAAGGTTAAAATTTGTAGAAGAAAATAGTTACAAAGGACTAGAATTCAAAGGCACTGGGGGAGAGAAATTTGAAGTAAATAATATATCAAAACCAGTCTGGAGTCTTCTCTCTAGGAAGTGTCCTGTGTGGGATCTAATTTTAGGAGAATCATTTACTAAGTTCACGGAAAAAAATAACTTTCTTGAATAATTGTGATTGAACAAGGCAAGAGCCCTTAGGTGGGGAATAAGGGACATCATTGGTGGGATAGTGAAGTCTTCCCCACCATTATATTAGATAGCCATACCTACAGTCACACCACAAAAAGAGGTGAAGTAAGGCAATAATTTGGGGAGGATAGTCAAATATTTGTTCCCTGTATGTCTGTAAGGGTAAACAATGTAATTTTGTACTTTTAGCATCTCTCCATGCAGTACTTTTTCAAAATCAAAAATTACACACAATTTTATCTGCAGTTACATACAAACTTGGCTAACTAAAATACTATAAAGAGTACAAAGAAAAGAGAAAAGTGAGGCTCATTCAGAGGAAAAATCAGAACAAATAAATGGTATCTTCCAGATAGATTAGTACAAACATAGACAATAATTGTAATATAAATCTGTTTTGTTCCTTCTGGAAACATGGATGAGGGTCCCACACTGGTAATAGAAGTTGTGGTCTTCCAGAATGTGGCTGAGATGAGAAAGGGTGGGCAAAAGCAAGTAAAAATGCCACAAAACTTTCTTACCATTTTCAAGTTATCTTTATCTTAATTCATCATTTACTTGGTTGTTTTAAACTTTTGATTATTTTCCAGAATTCTGACAAAGTTGGTTCTAATAATGCTTGTTTGTCAATATTTCTGTGAAAGGATGTCTGCTTAGAACTGCATACTCTGCCATTTTGCTCAATAAGTTATCTAGTTATATGTTTTTTCTCTGTCATTATTTGTTTTTATGACTGTATTGGTTCAATTGAATTTATATTGTTTCAATTTTTAATAGACTTTATTTTTAGAGAAGTTTTAGATTCATAGCAAAATGAGTGGAAGGTACAGAGTTCTCATATATTGCAATCATATCCATAATTCAAGGCCCAGTCTCTATTTCTCACATGCTAGAAATTCTTCTTCAGTTATTTCCAGCAGATGAATACTCATATACTATCCTAAAGTTTAGAGTTACATAGAAATGTATCTAAGTTCAATAAACCCATTTTACCAAAAGGACTCAGAATTCCAAAGAAGAGTGCTATTCCAAAAATGTCATGGTTGCAGAGCAAAAAATGGAACCCAGATAATTTGATCCTTTGTGTACCTTATAGCTACTTTTAAATTCTTGGATTTATTCAAACATCATCACTTTAGCCCTCGTGGTTTGAATTTGATTATGCATAATTCTAAATTACATAGGTTATATTTTCACTGTTTTTGTGGTTAAATGGCAGTTGGACTGGACTAGTTCAATATACTTCAATATCTTTCTTGCCCATCTGTAGCTTGCCACACTGCACATTTATTAGGAGACATTTTAACTACTGGGAGTTTATTAAATAGCTTTATTAAAGAATAATTTATGTACCATAAAATTCTGCCCTATTTCTGTATAGTTTGATGTGTTCAGGTGAATGTATACATTCCTGCAGCCATCACCACAATCAAGATTTGGGACATGTCCATCATCTCTAAAGTTCACTTACGCCTCTCTCTAGTCACTCCCTGCCTCCTGTCCCAACTCAGCCCCAGGGAACCACAAGTCTGTTTTCTGTTGTTACAGTTTTGTTTTTTTTCTAGAATTTCCTTTGTGCCTGACTTTCATTTGGCATAATGATTTTGAGATTCATCTATGGCTTTGCCTGTATCAGTAGTTTTGCTAAGTGCATTCCATTGGATGGACGTATCATATTTTGTTTATTTTTCACCAGTTAATGGTTATTTGTATGATTATTTGTACTTCTGTTCCCCAGTGCTTTGGCTGTTATGGGTACTGATATAACATTCACACAAAAGCCTGTGTATGAACAATTGTTTTAATTTCTTAGAAATGCCTGGAAGTGTCATCGCTAGGGCTTACTCTTATGTGTATGTTTGACATTTTAAGTAACAGACAAATTATTTTTGTTAGTGGTTGTGCCATTGTGCAATCCCTCTGTATTAGTTTGCTAGTTTGGGCATAACAAAGTACCACTGAGAGAGTGTCATAAACTAAAGAGATTTATTTTCTCATAGTTTGATAGCTATAAATGCAAGATCAAGGTGTCAGCAGGGCTGATTTTTTCTGTCTGTCTTCTTGACTTGTTGTTAGTTGTCTTCTTCCTGTGGCTTCATATGGTCATTGTCCTGTGTGTGTATATCTGCATCTAATTTCCTTTTCTTACAAGGATACAAGTCATATTGGATAAGATTAGCAGCCATCCATTTGACCCTATTTAGTTACCAATTTAAAGGCTCCAAATACACATTTTGAGGTACTGAGGGTTGGGACTTCAACATTTGAATGTTGAAAAAAACACAGTTCCTCCCATATACCCATCAACAATGTATGAACATTTCAATTCTTCCAAATTCTCATCACTATATGATAAATAGTTGCTATTTTACTAGGTGTGTAGCCATATCTCATAGTGGTAGTAATTTAGATTTTCCTAATGACTAAAAATATTGAGCATCTTTTTGTATGCTTATTGGACTCTGTATATTTTCTTTTGTAAAGTACGTATTCAAACATTTCTTCATTTATCTTAATGTGTTGTTAGTCTTCTTACTGAGTCATAAGAGTTCCTTATATTTTCTGGATCAAATTCTTTTGCCATATATATATTTACTAAATAATTTCTTCTAATCTATAACTTGTCTTTTCATATCTTAAGTGTATTTTTCAAAGGCCAAAATATTTTAATTTTGATTAAAACCAATTTACCAACTTTTGTATGGTTCATGATTTTTGAGTCCTACCTAAGAAATTTTTCCTTAACCCAAGAATGCAAACCTTTTTTCTTTTTCTTAAATAAATGGTGTGAGAAAAGAATCAATGTTCATTTTATTCTGCGTAAATATCCAGGAATCTCAGTACCATTTATTGAAGAGGCTATATTTTTCCATTTGATTACTCTGGAATTTTTCTTGAAATTCAATAAATCATATTGTATAGGTTGATTGCTGAATTCACACCTCTGTTTCATTGTCTTCTCGTAAATTAGGCAGCTTAAATTTTTAAATCTTTTATTTCTAAAAACTATTTTAATTATTCTGTCATTTGCATTGTCATATAGTTTATAATTAATTAAGTCCTGGAAGTGTGATTTTTTTTACAGAAGACAACTCTCAGTTGACATTATTCTGATTCCCTCTTGAATAGTCTTGTCATCTTTATCTCCAGCTACGGTTTGCCCCTTTTTGCATTTATTTTGCTCCTCATATCATTTGGGAAATACAAACGTGTGTGTGTGTTTGGGACCCTCATCCATGTTTCCAGAAGAAACAAAACAGATTTACCTGACAATTATTGTGTATGTTTGTACTAATCTGTCTGGAAGATACCTGAAGAAGTTGTAAGGTGCCTGTGTCTGTTTTTCCTTTCTTGGAACTCAGGGCATAAAAACATTAGGCATTGCTCGAAAACATTATAAGGCCAATGAAAATCCCTCAGTTTCCTGGAGTAAAATATTATGGTTGAGATGCACACACAAAAAAGCTTCTTATAGGCTGGATGAAAAGCTAGGAAAATATATTTTTTTGCTGGGGAAAATCAGGGAATTAAAAAGTGCCCACATATAACGGAGAAACAAAGCCACGTACATGTCAAGGATAGGGCACATGCTCAGGAAAGAGTCGAGAAAACTCTAAGCTTTCACCACAGGTGGATCTCTTGGCTCAGTGCAAGCAGCAAGTGAGGGCTGAAGCAGACTTGTCATGACCTGGCTAAGTGCTAAAGATGTATCTCAGCACAATGCCAATTCATAAATCCTGGAAGTAGTATTGTGTTTTTTTTTAATTGTTGCTTTATTCAATTTCTGTAGCTCCAGGCATTTAAGGAAATCTGTGTCAAAACACTAGTTAAACACAAACTAAAGAAAAGAGACTTCGGTGACTACACATCACAAGGAAACAAGTCATTAATAAATATTAGAGAAGTCACAAAGCAAATGAACATTCACAACCTTCAAATATCAATAACAGCAAAACCTAGCAAAGGTGGAAAATCTGGTGTTCAGGACAGTTACATTATTGCATTTCTTGCTTAAAATGGAAAAAATACTGTAAAGACTACAAAGAGAAAAGTGAGGCTCATTCAGAGGAAAAATAAGAAGAAATAAATGGGCAAAAACAATCTGAGGAAGCCCAGACACTGGTCTTAATGAATGAAGACAAAATTAACTGTCTTAAATATGCTCAAAGAGCTAAAATTATACATAAATAAAAGAACACTATCTATAAATAAAATTATCTATAAAAATATTTTTAAATTAAATAGAAGTATAAATATTATAAGTAAATAGAAATGCCAGAGATCAAAAGTATAATGGCTTAAATGAAAAATGTATTTGAGGGATTCGACAATAAATTTGAGCGAGCAGAAGAAATAATCAGAAAACTTCAAAATAGGACAGTTGAAATTTTCAGTCTGTGTAGAAGAAAGAAAATAAGACTGAATAAAACTGAAAAAAAGTCTAAGGTACCTGTGGAATAATTTCAAGAAGTTCAACACATGCATGATGGAGGTCCCAAAAGAAAAAGGAGAGAGAAAAGGAGGCAGGAAAAATATTTGGGAAAAAAGTTGCCTAAAATATTTCAAATTTGATGAAAGACATAAATCTACACATATAAGCTCAACAAGATACTATATAGGTTCCGATAACAAACTAGGTTTATGTATGTTCTAAAAAAGCTCTGGACCCCACTTTTTCCTCTAATTGTTTATGTAGCCTATACAATAGGGATCATGGAATGCGTAAGCAGGTGGTGATTTCCTGCTTTGCAGACTTAAGAGATGTTCATTAGCTTTACATAGGAAGTTTCACTGCCTCCGTTATTGCTGTCCAGTGACTTTTTCTAGTCGGAGTAGCAAGATTTCCTTCAGATTGCAATAAGGAAGAGACAAAACCCAGATGCAGAAAACTTCACAGCATTGAGAAGGGCAAGATAAGTCTTTTCTAGTTAATCTACACTTGGACCAATCATCTTCCCAAATGTATTGGAGCAAGCAACCCTCTTTAGGAATATGAATGATAAGCACTCCAGGTTAAAATCTGAACTTCTTAAATAATCAAATGAGAAGATTGACAATAAACAAGAGCACTGACCCTAATAGTTATAATCCAAACTTACTGGGCGTTGTCTACAAATTGTCCAGCTTTTGGAATATAAATAATATAATGAGAACAACAGCTTTTGATTTTCTGTAATAATGATATGATAATAAAATGACATTTCTTTAAAAAGAAATAAAAAGCTCAACAAACTACAACTACAAAAACGTAAAATCATTCACAGAAAGATAGATTATAAAGAAACAGCCAAAGGGAACAAATTCTTAAAAACAGCAAGAAAGAGGCAAATTGTCACAAAAAGGGACCACTGATAAGATTAACAGTCAATTTTTTAACAGAAACAATGGAGGCCAGAAGGCAGAAAGATAACATATTAAACTTATGAAAGAATACACACACACACACACAGGTCAACCATGAATTCTATGTCTAGGAAGATTATTGTTTAAAAATGAAGGAGAAATTTAAGACATTTATGGATAAATAAAACCTTTCAAAATTTATTAACAAGTGAAACTGTCCTACAAAATATTTTAGAGCGAGTCTTCCAAGTTGAAATGAAAGGATAATAGACAATAACTTGAAACCATTCAAAGAAATAAAGGCCACTGGTGAAGATAACTACACAGATAAAATTGAAGCTGGTAATATTGTAATATGCTTTGTAACTTAACATTTTATTTCCTACATAATTTTTTAAAATACATAGAAATAAATATAATTTTTATCATGAATTATAATCTGTGACAACATAAAGAGGGGAAAGAAACTGTATAGAAATAAATTATACAACTTGAAACTAAGTTGGCATTAATTCAAATTAGATATTTTATGAATTTAGTATATTAATTGTATTCCCCATCACTACAGTTAAGAAAACATCTAGATTTTTGGGGGGCTTGGATTTTCAGGCTCTTTCTAGGCTATAGAGTTCTTTCCAGGTGACCTGTAGCAGTTTGAGAGTTAAACATCAGTTTCCACTGGATTCTAAAGATCCAGGAGGAGCTTAGTGCTGTGTCTAGACCTTCAATGAACCCATCACAAAATTTTAAACCAAGCCTGATCCCAGAATCTTTACAAATGCTCACTGAAAAAAATTCCCAAGATTATTCAGGAGCTTCTTATAACTTCTGTTCCAAGATGTTTATAAAGGACCTTAGTTACTTGACTCTCAACTCTGGTACCAAATTCCCCTTTTCTTTCCTCAAAAGGTTACCCCAACAACAGAATAGAAGAGAAATGATCTTACAGGACATCATAGTTGGCTTGCTTTACAGGAGGAGAGGAGTAAGAACATGGCTCTCTGCAGAAAGAAAGAATGGTAAAATTGAGATACTTGTTACTCGGCATACTTCCTAGGCTTAAAAGAGAACAGACACTGGGCTTAAGGGAGTTCAGAATGAATCAAGGAGTGAATCATTCAAATGTGGCTGCAGTTTTGCATGTATCACAAATGGGATCCTTCTGAGAATGCTAGTATAGGAAATTGTGACACTGAGCTAATTCAGCCATAAACCATATTCCTGTACTTTTCTTTCTTGCTGGTAATTTATGGAGGAGCTTGAGAAAGCTACTCTATGCTAGCATAGACTACATATCAGTCATTTTGATAATGAGTTCTATGATGTCTTTTTCTTCTTGTATTTTTTCCTCCTACCATGATACCAGTAATGTATAAGGGATCTGTGTAGTTTGAATGTATTTGAATAACTTCAATATACTTCAGCTCTACTTCTTGATTTGACCCAAAGAAGCACCAACAGGACATAAGTATTCTCATGTATTTTAGAAGCGTAAAGTCAGTGAGAGAAAACTCAACATCAAGAATCTGAAGCAAGGTAACCTGTGAAAAAAGAATGTGAAGAAAATATTGGGTAGTTTGTTTAGAGCATAATAATTAGATTTTCTGGTTTCCAAAACTTGAATTGCAATAAAGGGAAACTCCGATGTACTATTTTTGCCGTTTTCAGTATCAAATAAATATGTGTATAAAGAAACAATAAAATTGATGTATTTGAGTACCTTTAAAAAAGAAAACATCTTAAAAAAGTATACACAAATGAAATAGAGAAATCAAAATATTACATTAAGAAATATCAACTCAACACAAAAGGAGACTGTAATAGAGAAAATGAGGGACAATAATCTTATGACATATCAAAATCTACTGGAAAAATGGTATAAATCTTTTCTTATCAATAAGCGGTTTAGGGAGGGATGCAGTGGCTCAGTCCTGTAATTCCAGCACTTTGAGAGGGCGAGGCAGGCAAATCACTTGAGCTCAGGAGTTCAAGACAAGCCTAAGCAACATGGTGAAACCTAGTCTCTACAAAAAATAAAAAGTTAGCCAGGCACTATGCCACACAACATGCCTGTAGTCCCAGCTATTCAAGAGGGTGAGGGAGTCTAAGGTGTGAGGATCCCCTGAGCCCAGGAGGTTGAGGCTGCAGTTAGCTGAGATCATGCCACTGTATTCCAGCCTGGTAACTGAGGAAGACCCTATATTAAATACAAAAATTAATAAATAGTACTTTAAATATAAATTTGTTAACTATTTAAAAAGCAGAAATTGGCCAACTGGATAAGAAAGTCATGATCCAACTGTAGGCTGTCTGCAAAAATTTCACTTCGGCTCCCAAGACACAAAATTTTGCAAGTAAAATCATGGTAAAAATATTCTATGCAAACAGTAATGTAAAGCGTAATCTTTTGATTACTAGCCTACCTATTGTAATAGTAGACACAAATAATTAAGTCAAAACTGCTAAAAGCAACAAAGACATTACATAATGATTAAAAATATTAATTACCAAGCATAACAACTCTGAACACCTATGTACAGAATAACAGAGTTCCAAAATATATGAACACTGATAGAATTGAGAGAAGAAATGGTCGATTCTAGAATTATAGTTGGAGACTTCATTAGCTCACTTACAATAATGAAAAGATTATCTAGACAAGAGATCATTAAGGAAATAGAGGACTTGAAGCACACCATAAGCCAACAGGAGCTAATGAACATGTATAGGACACTTCATCCAACAACACCAAAATACATATTTTTCTCAAGTGTACATTTTCTAAGATAGACAATATGTTGGGCCACAACATGAGTTTCAATACATTTAAAAATATTTAAATCACACCAAGTACCTTCTCTGACAATAGAATGGAGCTAGAAATTAAAACACAGGAAAAAAAAAAACCTATAAAATTCACAAATATGTGGAAATTAAACAAAACACTCTGAAACAACCAGGGGCTGAAAGAAGAAAACACAAGTAAAAATACACAATATTTACAACGGATGAAATAAAAACACAGTAGAGCCAAACTTAGGGGATGCAACAAAGGCAGTGCTCAGAAAAAAAAGTATTGCAATAAATGCCTATATTTAAAAAAAATCTCAAATTAATAAGCTAACTTTACACTTCAAAAACTAGAGTGGAAGGGAAAACTAAATGCAAAGCTGGCAAAAAAAAATAAAGAATAGGATGGAGATAAATCTAACAGATTATAGAAAAAAAATCAGAGAATTAACAAAACCAAGTTAGTTCATTGAGTGTTGGCAAGAGGAAGAATAGAAGTTCCCAGCTTTAGTTTCTTTCACAGACAGACCAACAAGCAGCTTTTCACAGGCAAGAAGGCCTTTGTGAAAATTTTAGGTAGAATCTAAAGATGTGACTGATGCACCCTCTTGGACTAGAAAAACTGAGAAAAGCCACATTAGACAGGTATAAGGGGCACTTTAACTTTAATTATAACACCCCTCCCCTGGGCAGCACAGAGCCATACCAAGAGTTGCCTTGGGCTTATAGTTTCTCCAGTGGAAAAAAGAGAGCCCAAGGCAGATATGAAACTTCTCCAATATTCTGGGGCACTTTCTGAGAGGCCCACTTCTTTTTTTATTTTAGGGGGAGCACTGAGGGAATTTGCAGAGCTATACCACCTACGCTCAGCTAGGAAAAAAGGAGGGTAAGCTAATATTGACCTGCATGTGAATCTTAGCACTGGCTCTCTGCCGGCAGCATTACCCAACCAGATAATTCAGCCAGTTGCTACACCCACCACTGAAGCCAAACTAGTCGCACTGTTTGGCCAGGGTGCAGTAACTGAGAGCCCTGCCTGGCTTAAGTCTCAGCTAGTTGCCCTGCCCAGCCATAGATTCCAGCCTATGTATGGCTCTGACTGGGAAGGAAACCAAACCAGCAGCCCTTCCAAAATAAGGAGCATAGTCTATGGCCTTACCCAACTATGGAATCTGGCCAGTGATCTCACCCACCACACAGCCCAGCCTACCTCTACCCAGCCACGGAGTACAGCCCTCAGCTTTCATAGCTGTGGAACCCAGTCTACAGATAAATTCAGTTGTACAGCATGGTGCATGACCCTGCCTGGGCAGGGAGCCCAGCCAGCAACCCCATATAGTTGCAAAGCATATTTTGCTGCCCAGCCCAACCTGCTAGATTAGTACTGACCCTGACAAACCACAAAGCATAGCCAGTGGCCCTACCCAGTGAAATAATCCAGCCAGGGACCTTGCCCAACTGTAATATCACATCATAGAGTCTAGCACACAGTTCCCCATGAATGCAAATACCAGCAAATTAAAATGAAATGGTAACTTATGCAATGGGAAAAATATTTGGAAACCATGTATCTGATAAGAGGTCAGTATCGAAAATATATAAGAAATTCGTAAAACTCAATAGCAAAAACAACAATATTACAATTTTAAAATGGGCAAAGGAACTGAATAGACTTTTTTTGAAAAAAAGAAACAGCCAAAAAATACACAAAAAGTTGTCCAACATCACTAATCATCTGGAAAATGCAACTCAAAATCATAATTAGATATCACTTCATACCTGTTAGAACGGCTATTCTCAAAAAGACAAGAAAAAACTGGTGTAGGCAAGGAAATGAAGAAAAAGGAACGCTTTTACACCACTGGCGGAAATGTAATTTGGTATAGCCACTATACAAACCATATGGAGGCTCTTCAAAGTATTAAAAATAAAACTATCGTATGATCCAGAAATCCTACTATTAAGTAGATGTCTTAGTTTGTCTGGCTATCACATAATATCTGAGACCGAATAATTTATAAAGAACAGAAATGTATATCTCAAAGTTCTGGAGGCTGAGAAGTCCAAGATCACGGTATTGGCATCTGGTGAGGGCCGCCTTCTTGTGTCTTCACATGGCAGAAGGCAGAAGAATGAAAGGAGTGAACCCTCTCTCTCAAGCCCTTTTATAAGGACACCTAATCACATTCAGGAAGAGGGAATCTCTCATTACTTAATTACCTTTTAAAGACCCCACTTCTTAACGCCCTCTCATTGGCAAGCACTGAATTTTGGAGGGTACCCATTAAAACCACAGAAATATATATCTGAATGAAATGAAACCAGTATATTGAAGAGATAGTTGCACTTCCATATTCGTTGCAGCAAAATTTACAATAGCCACAATGTGGAAAGAAGCTAATTGTCTCTCAATGGACAAATGCATAAAGAAAATCTAGTGTGTATATACAAATGCATGTGTGTGTATATATACTTACATATATAAACAAATATATGTGTGTATATATATCTGGTGTATATACTATATATATAGTGTATATACACACACACACACACACACACAATCTGTTTTATACATATATAAAACAAAATATTATCCAGCCATAAAAAAGAAGAGAATCCTGTCATATGGGCACAATATGGTCATTGAGGGCATTATGCTAAGTGAAATAAGTCAGAGAGAGACACATGTCATATGATCTCACTTACTTGTGGAGTCTACAATTTGAACCTGTAGAAACAAAGAGTAGAGTGGTGGTCATCAGAGTTTGAGAGGGTAGGAGTTATTGGGAGATGGTGGTTAATGATACAACCTTTGAGCTGTAAGATGAATAATTATGGGGGACTAATGTACATCGTGATGACTACAGTAATAATACCTTATTATACACTTGAAATTTACTAAGAAAGTAGACCTTAATTTTTTTTACCACACACACACACACACACACACACACACACACACACAGAGGTAACCATGAATGGTGATGGATATGTAAACTCACTTGATCGTGGTGATCACTTAACAAGATATATCAAATAAAAAGACAAAATCAAAAGTTTGTCATTAAAAAAAAACAAAAATGTTAATTCTTTGAAAAGATAAAATAAATGACAAGCCATTGGTTAGACTGACCACAAAACAAACAAACAAAAAACAACTAAAATCAGAAATTAAGTTGGGAATATTACTACCAACCTAACAGAAAAAAAAAACTACAAAAGAATATTATTAAAAACTATGACAACAAATGATATAACCTTAGATGAAATGGACAAAATCCTAGGAATGCACAATTACTGAAACTGACAAAAGAAAAAATGGAGTATCTGAATAGATTTAACTAGTAAAGAGAATGAATCAGTAATAATAACAATAATTTTAAGGTCACTAACCAAGAGAAGTCCAATACCAGATTGATTCACTGGTAAATTCTACGAAATATTTAAAGAATAATTTCCAATAATCTTTTCAAAATCTTATAATAAATGTTAAAACTTCTGAACTCATTCTATGAGGCCAACCTTATCCTTATACCAAAGCCAGTTAAGGACATCAGAAGAAAATAAAATTATAGGCAAAAATATCTTAATAAGATATGCAAAAATCCTCAGTAAAATACTAGCAAACTTCATCCAACAGTGTATAGAAGTATTATACACCGTGACCAAGTGGATTTATTCAAGGAATACAAGGACGATTCACCTTAAGAAAATAAATCAAGATAATGCACTGCATTAATCAAATGAGGGAAAACACACACACACACAGACACACAGACACGCACACACGCACACTCCATAATCATCCTAATTGATGTAGGCATAGCTCTTATTAAAAACCAATACCTTTTTATGATAGAAACACTCAGAAAACTAGCAATAGAAAAGAATTCTTCGAAATGATAAAAAGACACTTAAAAACTCACAGCAAACGTTGCTCAATGGTGAAAGCCTGAAAGCATTTTCCCTAAAATCAGGAACAATAAAAAAAGTTTTCCCCCCCACTGCTATTCAACATTGTACTGCAAAATCTTGCCACACTAATAAGGTAAACAAAGAAAATAAAATACATCCAAGTTAGAAATTCATATGGAATTTCATTTCAGGCTGTTTGCCTGAAATAGCCAAAACAATGTTAAAAAAAACAAATGTGGAAGACTCCTTTACTTACTTCAGCCTTTCTACATACCCACAGTAATCCAAGCAGTATAATAGTGACATTAGGATAGATATATAGACCAATGAAATAGAATTGGGATTCTAGGAATAAATTCATAAATCTACTGCAATAGCTTTTCGTCAAGGGTACAAGGAGCATTCAGTGGGGAAAAATCTCTTTAATAAATGTTTTTGGAACAAGTAAATGTCATATGCAGCATAAACAGACTAAGACAATTGAATTTTGGGTTATTTTATTACTCAGCAGAGTCTGCTTTGCATTAACATTATTTACAGAATTTTTTCTCTTGTAAGATAATTATTCAAAGATCAGGTCAACTGATCTTTGAAAAAGGTGTCAAGAAGACACACGAATATGAAGTATATACTTCAAATATATTCTTATGACCTCTGTATTGTCTTCTAGTTATTCTAAAACTTTCCTCAATAAATAAGAAAAAAATAGTATGTGTGTATATGTATATATTATTTCCATCCCTTTACAGACTGATGCACTAACTCATGAAATCTAGATGCCATTTTATCTTTTGTTTTTGGCCTGATAACGCTTTCTAAATTATATTTTCTTTTACTTGTAATGAACACAAATTACATAAGCAAAGAAGAGCTTCATATAGATTTTTTAAAGGTAATATTTTTCAGGGGCAATAGGATACAGATATAAAAGTAGTAACTATGTTTTCTCCCCCACTGGGGACAGTATGACTTCTCTGAGTGAATGCAAAAGCAGAAAGGCCCAAATGTCCTAGCTTACTTCTCTCATCAAAGCAAAAGATCTTCATATGGGAAGAAAATACATGGTGTGATATAACCAAGAAATATATTTCTCTCTTACATTAGAAAAAGAACGAATTAATTGATCAAACAAACATGAACTCAAAGTACGAAAGAAAAAAATTATCAGGTATGCCATTTAGATATCTATGTGAAAATGGTTAAATGAGAAGGATGATGTCCACTTAAATTCTGAGGCCAAGCTGGAAAGTACATTTTCTTTTCTGAGTATATTAAGAACAAACTTTAAATTATTTAATGTTGAGACCATACAATAGTGTTGCTTATATTTATCTTTAATTTCAGGTTAAAACACTTTTATTGTATAGATAATATAATATATAATACATATGTGCATGGGTATGTGTGTGTGCATGTATATAATTATCTTAAATCATATATGCATACATACATGTATACATAGTTACATTAATTACCATATACATAGGGCTACATATCGTTTCTTCAAATTCTAAGTGTCCAGGAATATAGAAAATAATACAACTGATGTTCGTCTACTCAAATAACTTAACACATGATATTATTTTATATATTTATTTATATAATTATATATTTATTTCACTGCTTTAAAATAAATTATGTTACAAAGAGTTAACATCTCCCCGAATATTCATCTTTTTTCTTCCTCCCTAAATATAATTAATATCAATAAATTGCTGTGCATCCATTAATATCTTAAAGCTTTTATTATATTTGTATATTTACAAATGCATGTTCTCATATACAGTACATATTTTAATGTATGATTTTTTTCTACAATTTATATAAATCCTGTCCTTCGGATCAAACTTTATTAGTACTTTTTTGTGCCATTCAATGTTATGTTTGTTTTGTTGCTGTTGTTTTAAGGAGTTTCACTTTGTCACCCAGGCTGAAGTGCAGTGGTGCAATCATAGATCACCTTAGCCTCAAACTCCTGGTCATAAGAAATCTTCTTGACTCAGCCTCCTAAGTAGCTAGGACTACAGAAACATGCACCCATCTAGGGTATTTTTTTTTTTAATTGTTGTTGAAATAGTCTGGTTATCTTGCCCAGATTGGTATTGAACTCCTGGCCTGAAGTGATCCTCCTACCTCAGCCCCTCAAGTAGCTGGGATTTACAGGTGTGAGCCACTCTGCTTGAGTTGTTGTTATTTTAAAGACTCAGCCATGATTATACACACTTAAAGCTAATTCATATGTCTTTGTTGCTGTACTATATTGTATGAATATCCTTGAATTTATTTATTACACATATTTATAAATTATACATTGATTTTTGTGAGCTACAGTAATGCTTTGGAAAGAGAGAATTTTACTCCATCAGCCAATTGATGACTTATTGATTCACTATCTCAGGAATAGAATCTATCTCCATTTTACAGAAACAAGAACATTATCTCATTGCTGTAGTTGAAATTCAGATTTATATTTTCTATGTTTTGAAAGCTACAAAAACCAATATTCTAAATAACTACTTTTCAAGAAAACTGAGTATATTGTTTCTCTAAGATAGTAAATCAATCAACATTTACTACATCTCATTAAGTAGCCAGCAGTGTGTTAGGAACTAGGGATACGGAGTGAAGAGAGAGAGAAAAAAAATACCTTTATTATCCAGAAATTCTGCTTGAGATGGCAAATACCAAGAACAATGAAAACAGGAAAGAATCATGTAAATGCAAATAAGCATGGAACTGGTAGAAGTTAGGATGTGATAGAGTAATTCTGAGAAGGCTTTGTAGGAAAAGACTTTCCATGTATTTTGTAGAAATCAGAAAACTAGTTGATGGTATTCACTCAGTGAGAGCTATACTAAAAATAAAGTTGAAGGATAAGGGGATTAGAAGTAGAAAAGTGTCATAGAAAGAACAGACCATTATTTTGATTTTCTTGGGCATAATCTGACTATCCATATTTTTTTCCTATATGGTGTATATTAAACTATAAAGGTCTTGAATATGACAGCTGGATCACTGTTTGCACATCCAGGATTAAAGAACCTGAAAAGCTGAAGGTGATCTATAAAGAGTTACTGACTAAATAAATACGAAAACATCATCATCATCATCATAAAACTGAAATAAACTAAGGAGCAACCTAATAAAAAAGTTTTGAGGATATTACTTTATCAAAAGCCGTTTTTCAGTTTCTCCTATTCAATTCATACAACAGGGGACATAGCTGTATTGGAAAAAGGTTGGTTATTCCTTATTAGACAAGAACAATATTTCTCTTGGATGATATTTAAAATAATCATAGATTTAACAAGAAAAAAATGTAGACAGAGAAGAAAACGCAGTTGAAAAGTTAGTAAAGAAACATGGAGAAAAAAAAAAAACCCACAAAGTATCAAAAACTAAGCTAAACAAAACCTAAAAGAATATCAGTATGTCAATGTCCTCCTAAATTTGGCCTTGGTGCCCCATGTCTAAACAAGGTCAAAAAGAATTAGCAGGACAAACGACCAACCCATTTATAAAAGTGGTAGCATTAATATAAAATCAATTGATACACACAAAAAAATTGCCTCAGAAGAAAAAGCTACTGACAATTATTGTATTTTGACTGACACATTTTAAAAGCACAGAGAATATCTGTGACTTTCAGCAAAGAGAACTAGCATTTATGGATACGTGCTTATTACTATAACTGCAGAGATTATTTTGTATTACAAAAATGTTGGCCTCAAATAGCCGCCTTTACCTATACTTCTCATTGCAATCCATTTTCTAGGTACTTGAAGTCCTTCATGATTTGATTACAAGACCTTTTGGCTTTATTTTATGTATGATTCTTACATGCACTTACTTGCTCAGGAACAACTGTCTTCCTCTCTGTTTACTCCACCTTCAACCTTGCTGTATAAATCAATGTTATTATCTTCAACTTCTTCTTCTCTCACTGGTAAAAAGCCTAGCTGCTCTTCACAGTCCTGCTCAGTTAGCTTCCCCATGGGACTTTTCCTTGAGCTCATTTTCACATGCTCATTGGTATCCAAATTAACTCCCGTTTTCCCTCTGCGCTTCTGTGACATTTAACATGCATCACTAATGTCAAATTGTTTACAATACTCTCATAACCAATAGATAAAAAATTTACTGACAATAGGGTAGCACAGAAGAATATAAACCTGAGCCACTATGCATTTTTAAAAAAGGTTTCATATTTTGAAAATTTTAAAGTTGCAAAAAGAGTAAGGAGAAATCCTATACACCCATCTCCTAGCTTTCTCTATTGTTAAAACTTTACATAACCACAAAATAATTGTCAAAATTATAAAAGAAACCTTGGCACAACACTATTAACTGAAAAAAAAAAGTATTTGGATTTCAATATTTTTAAAATTAATGTTCTTTATTCTGTTCCAGTCTCTGATTTAGGACTCCAGACTGCATTTAAGATCCATGTCTTTCTTCTTTTCTCCAATTTATGACATATCTTCTGTCTTTTTTTTACCTTACATGATCTTGACACTTCTGAAGTACACTGCTTAGTTATGGTATACATGTCACTCCAATCGTGTTTGTCTAATATTTTCTTTTTCTGCAATTTAGTGCATGTCACAAAAAGCATGAAAGAGGCTATGATGTATCATCACATTGGAGTACTTAATATCGATGTGTTATTGATGATGTTAAATTTGATCAACTGATTATGGTGGTATCTGCCAGCACTCACCACTGTAAAATCACTGTTTTCCCTTTGTAATTACTAAATATTCCAGAGGAGAGATTTTGAGATTATGAAAATATACTGATTTTGCTTCTAATCCTTTGTACTAGTTTTATTGTTGCCACGGGATCTTGCCTTTAGAATTTATTACTGTGATTTTATTAATTTTAATTTAATTAAAAAGTTAAAATTAAACTTTATTAAGCTATTGTGATTTTTTAATTGTCATTTCTTAAATTTATCAATATGAAATTTTTAGTGAGAAGTTCTTTATTCTCCATTTATTTAGGTATTTAGTTAATCAGTATCAGTTTGTGAATATTTATTATTCCTTGGGTAATAATGCAAAACAGGAATTACATTTATCCTTGCTTATGTTTCCTGCCCCTCCCACCACAGTGTGGCCATTGGAAACTCTGACTGGCTTCTGTACTCTTTAGTTATACCACACCCATCCCATTAGTTTTTAGCATATTCTTGCACCACAAAATGTTCCAGCCAGCATCGTGTTTTGAACAATGGCAAAAAGACAATTTGGAAACAGGCACATTGAAGTTTAAATCTGGCTCCTAACTTGTTGTTTTTGCAAGTATTATCCTTTTCTCTGAGCATCAATTTCCTTATTTGTAAAGTGGGCCTCATTGCATTGAGAAAGTGACAGTTGCCAAAAAATTGTCCTTGGTATGTTTGGATAATGCGCACACTGTCTACAGCCATCCTGTAGCAGGACAAGCCGCAGACAAAACCCCTCATATACAGAGTTAAAGAAGGAAGGGCTTTATTCGGCCGGGAGCTTTGGCAAGACTCACGTCTCCAACAACCGAGCTCCCCAAGTGAGCAATTCCTGTCCCTTTTAAGGGCTCACATCACTAAGGGGGTCCACGTGAGAGAGTCGTGATGGATTGAGAAGCAGTAGGTATGTGACTGGGGGCTGCATGCACCAGTAATTAGAACGGAAGGGAACAGAACAGGACAGGGATCTTCACAGTGCTTTTCTTACGCAAATAACCAATTAGGTCAGGGGTGGATCTTTAACTACCAGGCACAGGGTGTGGCGCCGGACTGTCTGCTTGTGGATTTCGTTTCTGCCTTTTAGTTTTTCCTTCTTCTTTCTTTGGAGGCAGAAATTGGGCATAAGACAATATGAGGGGTGGTCTCCTCCCTTAATACCAGCTGCACTTTCTTATCTCCTCCACTTCTAAGTTGAAGAGGCTAAATTTTTGGTAAGTGAACCAAAAGGGTCTGGAACTCCTTTCCTCCATTGGGTCCTTACCTATAAGTTCATTAGAGTAAGAATACTGGGGCCTCAATCATCATTGTCCCATCTTGTTCTTAAAACGAAGTTCGTGCACCGATAGAAACAAGCCAAAAACACCCAGAAGCTACCATCTCACTCAGAACCTAGAGTAATGGCTCAGAGAATTTGTCCAAGGGGAAATGTAGTCCATTAAAAAAATGCTCTGGTCTCTCCTAAAGAGTACTGACTTTACTTGAAACAAATGGTAGGGAAAATTCAAGTGTAAGGGTGCTCTCAAAAATAAAAACATAGCTGGGCGCAGTGGCTCACGCCTATAGTTCCAGAACTTTGGGAGGCTGAGGCGGGCAGATCACAAGGTCTAAGAGATCGAGACTATCCTGGCCAAGATGGTGAAACCCCATCTCTACTATAAATACAAAAATTAGCTGGGCATGGTGGTGTGCACCTGTACTCCCAGCTACTCAAGAGGCTGAGGCAGGAGAATTGCTTGAACCTGGGAGATGGAGGTTGCAGTAAGCCAAGATCGTGCCACTGTACTCCAGCCTGGCAACAGAGTGAGGCTCCATCTCAAAAAATAAATAAATGCATAAATACATAATAAATAAATAACACTTAAGACTAGCAAGTGAAGCCACAGACTAGCTAATTCATCAGAGAAAATTGGAAACAGAAAGCCAAGAAGAACATTATTGGCATTAGAACTAACCTCAAAGACTGCCATCAAAACCCATCTCTGCCTGAACTAAATTAGTTAAGACAGCTGAGCAATTTATGTCCCAGAGCATTGTCATAACAACAGAGCAATAAGCCCATAATTATTGGAGCCTAGAAGTCTGGATGTAATACCAAATGAAGTTGGCAGCTTAATAGAGAAATTAGGGAAAGGTATAGCAAAGGAAAGACTGTCACACAAGTATGACACACATACCTAAGATGGCACCCTGTAAAAAGTGACACCAAAAGCTTCAGACTACAGAAGAAAAAATCATCACTAAAATAGTTAACCAAATTTACAAACACACATACACACACACACACACACACACACACACACAAATTAAGTGAACACAAACAACAAAACCAAACCTGGGGGTGTGGTAGGGGTCAGTATCCAAAGTCACTAAAATGTTACTCACAATGTCCACTTTCCACAACAACAAATGAGATAGGCAAGAAACAGGAAGCTGTGACCAATACACAGGAATAAAAGTAGGAAACAGAAACTGCCAATGAGAGGGACAAGATTTCAGGTTTAACAAAGACTTCAACTTAGCCATTATAAATATGTTCACAGAACTAAAGGAAATGAAGCTTAAAGACATAAAGGAAGTAAGAAGACAATGTCTCATTAAATAGAGAATATCAATGAAGATATATAAATTATAGAATGAAACAAATGTTAATTCTGTAGATGAAATGAACAATAACCAAAATAAAGGGGTACTACAGAAAATCTGAACCGGCAAAAGAACGAATCAGTGAACTAAAAGATAGATTAATAGATATTATGCAATCTCAATAACAGAGATTTTAGCATAAAGAAAAAGCATCAGTCTCAGAGGAATGTAGGGCACTTTACGCACACCAATGTATGCATAATGGAAGCACCAGAAAAAGAAGAGAAGAAAAATAACAGAAAAAATAAATTGAAGAAATGACCAGTGAAGACTTCCCCAAATTGCTGAAAAATATAAATCTACACATTCAAGACACTCAACTAACTCTAAGTAGTATAAGTGCAAAGAGATCCTGAGTAAAAATGCTGAAATTTAAAGAAAAGGAGAAACTATTAAAAGCTGCAAAAACCAAACAACAACAAAACAAAAATACTGACTCATCATATATAAGGGACACTTTCAATAAGACTACTGCCTAGTTTTAACAATAGACTAGAAGAAGTTAAAAAAAAAATTCATAGTTGAAGACAAGGCTTTTGAATTAACTAAATCAGACAAAAATAAAGAAAAATGAATCAAAGAAATAAAGTCTCCAAGAAATATGAGATTAAGTAAAATGGCCAAAACTAAGAATAATTGGTGTTCCTGAGGGCGAAGACAATGTGAGTCTGGAAAACTTACTTGAGGTACTAATCTCTAATTGGCTAGAGATGTAGATATCCAAATCCAAGAAGCTCACACATTTCCTGGGAAATTCACTGCAAAAAGATCTTCACCCAAGGCATATAACTATCAGGCTATTTAAAGTCAATATGAAGAAAAAAATTCTAAAAGCAGTAAGACAAAATCATCAGGTAACCTACAAAGGAAAGCCTATCAGATTAACAGCAGACTTCCCAGCAGACAACCCAGCAGACACCTTACAAGCTGAAAGGGATTGGAGTTTTATCTTCAAGCGTCTTAAACAGAACAACTATCAGCCAAGAATTTTACACCCAGCAAAACCAAGTTTTAAAAAGGAAGGAGAAATAAATTCATTTTCAGACAAACTAATGCTGAGAAAATTTGTCATTACCAAACCATCACAACAAGAAATACCAGAAGGAGTTCTAAACATTGAAAAAAAGGCTGATGTGAACCAAAATAGAACCTCTTGAAAGCTCAAAACTTACAGGGCCTATAAAATAATAATGCAACAATAATAACAAAAAACTAGGTAGCAATTAACATGATGAAGAGAACAGAACCTTACATCTCAATATTAACATTGAATGTAAATGGCCTAAATGCTACACTTAAAAGATACAGAATGGCAGAATGAATAAAAAGCTACAATCCAAATATCTGCTCTTTTCAGGAGACTCACCTAGCACAGAAGGATTCATATAAACTCAAGGTAAAAGGATTGAAAAGTTATTTCATATAAATGGAAACCAAAGGCAAGTCAGAGTAGCTATTCTTATATGAGAAAGAACAGACTTCAAAGCAACAAAATTAAAATGACAAAGATAGTCATTATGTAATGATAAAAGAATCAATTTAGCAAGAAGATATCACAATCCTAAATTTATATGCACCCAATACTGGAGCTCCTAGATTCATAAAACAGTTATTACTATACCTAAGAAGTGAGATAGACAGCAAAACAGTAATAGTGGGAGACTTCAATGTACCACAGCCAGTACTGCATAGGTAGTTCTTCAAGACAGGAAATCAATAGGGAAACAATGGGGTTAAACAACAGCTAGAACAAATGGACCTAACAGATATTTACAGGACATTCTACCTAAGATCTTCAGAATATATATTCTTCTCATCAACACATGAAACATTCTCCAAGACAGACCAGCCCATATGATAGGCCCCAAAACAAGTCTCAATAAATTTTTAAAAATCAAAATCATATCAAGTCTCTTCTCAGACTACAGCAGAATAAAACTAGAAATCAACTCCAAAAGGAGCCCTCAAAACTATACAAATACATGGAAATTAAATACTCTGCTAGTATGATATCTGGGTTAACAATGAAATGAAGACAGAAATTTAAAAGTTACTTGAATTGAATAATAATGACACAAGTTATCCAAACCTCCAGGTTTGGATAACAGCAAAAGCAGCACTAAGAAGAAAGTTTATAGTGTTAAATGCCTACATCAAAAGGTCTCAAAGAGCAAAAATTGACAACCTAATGCCACACTTCAAGAAACTGAAGAAATAAAAACAAACTAAACCTAGAACTAGAAGAAAAGAAATAACGACGATCAGAATATAACAAATTGAAATTCAAAAATACAAAAAATACAAAAGATCAATGAAACAAAAAGCTGGTTCTTTGAAAAAATAAACAAAATTGGTGCACCACTAGCTAGATTAGCTAAGAAAAAAAGAGAGAAGACTCAAATAAGCTCAATTGGAAATAAAACTGGAGACATTACAACCTACACTACAAATACAAAAGATCATTCAAGACCACTATGAATACCTTTATATGCATAAACTAGAAAACCTGGAGAAAATGAACAAATTCCTGGAAACATATAACCCTCCGAGATTAAAAAAGGAAGAACCAGAAACTTTGAACAGACCAATAACAAGCAGCAAGATTGAAATAGGAATTTAAAAATTGCCAACAAAAAAAAAAGCCTAGGACCAAATGAATTCACTGCTGCATTCTACCAAACATTCAAAGAATTGGCACCAATACTACTGAAACTACTCCAAAAGATTGAGAAAAAAGAAATCCCCCTTGAATCATTCTATGAAGCTAGTATCACCCTGATACCAAAAGCAGAAAAAGACACAACAACCACAACAACAACAAAAAAACTACAGACCAATTTTCCTGATGAACATAAGACACAAAAATCCTCAATAAAATACTAGCTAACTGAATCAAAAGTACATCAAAAAGATAATTCATCATGATGAAGTGAGTTTAATCCCAGAAATACAGATATGAATTAACATACACAAGTCAATAAATGTGATACATTGCATAAACAGAATTAAACAAAAACCATAAGATTATCTCAATTGATGCAGAAAAAGCATTTGACAAAATCCAGCATCCCTTTACAATAAAAACTCTCACCAAACTAGGCACAGAAGGGACTTATTTTAAAATGATTAAAGCTCCATATGACAAACCCACAGCCGACATCATACTGAATACAGTAAAGTTGAAAACTTTCCCTCTGAGAATAGGAATAAGATAAGGATGCCCACTTTCACCATCCAATTCAACATAATTCTGGAAGTACTAGCCAGGGCAATTAGGCAAAAGAAAGAAATAAGGGCATCTAAGTTGGAAAAAAGAAGTCAAATTGTCACTGTTTGCAGATTATATGATTCTATACCTAGAAAATCCTAGACTGCTTTAAAAGGTTCTTAGATTTGATAAACAAATTCAGTAAAGTCTCAGTTTACAAAATCAGTGTACACAAATCTGTAGCACTGCTAAACACCAACAACGACCAAGCTAAGAATCAAATCAAGAACTCAATCACTTTTACAACAGCTTCAAAATAAGAATAAAACACAATATATAAGAAGATACGTAACCTTGGCCGGGCGTGGTGGCTCAGGCCTATAATCCCAATACTTTGGGAGGCCGAGACGGGCGGATCACAAGATCAGCAGATCGAGACCATCCTGGCTAACATGGTGAAACTCCATCTCTACTAAAAATACAAAAAAATTAGCTGGGCGTGGTGGTAGGCGCCTGTAGTCCCAGCTACTCGGGAGGCTGAGGTGGGAGAATGGCGTGAACCTGGGAGGCGGAGCTTGCAGTGAGCGGATATCACGCCACTGCATTCCAGCCTGGACGACTGAGCGAAACTCCGTCTCTAAATAAATAAATAAATAAATAAATAAATATAAAAGAATATACTTAACCAAGAAAGTGAAAGATCACTACGAGGACTACAAAACAATGCTGAAAGAAATCACAAATGACACAAACATGGAAATGTACCCCATGCTCATGGATGATAAGAAACGATATTGTGAAATGACCATACTGCCCAAAGCAATCTACGGATTCAGTGCAATTCCCATCAACATACCAACATTATTTTTCACAGAATTAGAAAAAAGAATCCTAAATTCATATGGAACCAAAAGAGAGCCAGGATAGCCAAAGCAATACTAAGCAAAAACAACAAATCTGGATGCATCACATTACTGGAATTTCAAATTATACCGCAAGGTTATAGTTACCAAAACAAAATAGACCAATAAAACAAAATAGAGAACTCAGAAATAAAGCTGAATACGTATAACCAACTGATATTCAACAAAGCATACAAAAACATAAATTAGGGAATAGATACCCTATTTAATATATGGTGCTGGGAAAACTAGCAGGCCACATATAGAAGAATGAAGCTGGATTCCCATCTCTCATCTTACATAAAAATCAACTCAAGATAAATCAAAGACTTAAATATAAGACCTGAAACTATAAAAATTCTAGAAGACAACATCAGAACACTTCTACAGATATCAGCCTAAGCAAAGAATTAGTGACTAAGACCCCAAAAGCAAATTCAACAAAAACAAAAATAAATGGGACCTAATTAAACTAAAACATGTCTGCAAAAGAAATAATCAACAGAGTAAACAGACAATCCACAGAATGAGAGAAAATATTTGCAAACTATGTATCTGACAAAGAACTGCTATCCAGAATCTACAAGAAACTCCACAAATCATCAAGAAAAAAAAATAACATCATTATAAAGAGGGCAAATGACATGAATAGACATTTCTCAAAAGATGACACACAAGTGGCCAAAAAATTATGAAAAAATGCTCAACATCACCAATCATCAGGGAAATGCAAATTAAAACCACAACGAGATACTACCTTACTCCTGCAAGAATGGCCATTATTAAAAAGTCAAAAAACAATAGATTTTGGTGTGAATGTGGGGACAAGGGAACACTTATACACTGCTGGTGGAAATGTAAATTAGTACAACCTCTATGGAAAACAGTATGGAGATTCCTTAAAAAGCTAAAAGTAGATCTACCATTTGATCCAGCAATCCCACTGCTGAATATCTACCCAAAGCAAAATAAGTCATTATATGAAAAAGACACTTGCACATCTATGTTTATAGCAACAAAATTCACAATTACAAAGATGTGGAACCAACCTAAATTCCTATCAACTCATGAGTGGATACAGAAAATGTGGTATATACACACATGAAATGCTACTCAGCCATTGAAAGGAACAAAATAATGTCTTTTGCAGCAACTTGAATGAAGCTGGAGGCCACTATTCTAAGTGAGGTAACACAGGAATGGAAAACTAAAAACTGTATGTTATTACTCTATGTATGAGCTAATCTGTGAGTATGCAAAGGCACACAGAGTGACATAATAGACTTGAGAGACTCAGAAGGGGGAGGGTGGGAAGGTATCTCAGATTAAAAAAAACTGCATATTAGGTACAAATGTACTCTAATGGGTGATGAATGCACTAACATCTCAGAATTCACCACTACATAATTTATCCATGTAATAGAAAACCACTTGTACCAAAAAAAGCTATTGAAATAAAAATAAAAATAAAAAAGAAATAAAAGACTATGTCTAACTTTTCATTAGAAACAGTGGAATGCACAATATGCTGGTACGGGACAGTCAAAGAACTAGAGGAAAAAATGTAAACCAAAAATCCTATATCTAGCAAAGCAGTCTTTCAAAAATAAAAGTGAAATAAATACATTCCCAGATTAAAAAAAAAAAAAAAAGCAAAACAAGCTCAAAGGAATTCATTGCTAGCCAACCTGACTTACAAAAAAATAAAAATACTAAAATAAGTATTTCATACTTAACACAAGTAAATACTGACAGAAATATAAATCTGCACCAAAAAAATGAAGAGCAAGAATACAATTATATAATTATTAAAAAGTATGAATTTACATTTTATTACGTTTTAGCTTAACGGGTTTAAAAAGCAATTTTATAAGCAATATGTATAAAATCATATAATTATTGTTGAGGCTATAACATATAGAAATATAATGCATTTGACAACAATGGCGCAAAGAATGTGAGAGGAAGCAGAGTTGTACTGGAGTAAGAAAATGACACAGAGGGCAACCTAAACTCAAAGGCACAAATGAAGAGACTAAATAAATAGTAAATAAGAATACAAATAAAACAAACTTTGCACATACGTTCCTGCTCCCTTTTCTTATCTCAGCTTATGTAATAGATCCCCCTATAAGCAATACTTATAACAATGCCACTGAGTTTGTAACATATGTACAGGTAATATATGTAATCATAATAACACAAAGCTAGAGGAAAAATAGATCTACACAGGAGCAATAATTCTATATCTCACTGGAATTAAGTTAGCATAAACTTGAAATGGATTCTGATAAGTGTGTATATACACACACACACACACACACACATGCACACGCACACACATAAAATAAGCCCTAGGATAATTACTAAGAAAACAACAATAAAAAATAAATTTAAAACATTAAAAGAATATAAATATACTAGAAAAATAATCACTTCAAAGTAAATAATTTTAAAAATTGAGAAACAAAAATAATATTAGCTATATAAAGATAAAAATTGCAAAAGTAAATTCAGACATATTGATACAGATTTTAAATGTGAACGGATTAAATACTTAAATTAAAGGCAGAGAGCCACAAACTGGATAAAAAATTAATGTCTAATTCTATACCGTTTATAGGAGACACTATTTTTTGAGACACAGTCTTGCTCTGTCGCCCAGGCTGGAGTGTAGTGGCGCTATCTCAGCTCACTGCAACCTCCACCTCCTGGGTTCAAGCGATCTCGGGCCTCAGCCTCCAGAGTGGCTGGGATTACAGGTGCGTGCCACCACACATAGCTAATTTTTGTATTTTTAGTAGAGACAGAGTTTCGCCATGTTGGCCAGACTGGTCTCAAACTCCTGGCCTCAAGTGATCCTCCCACCTCGGCCTCCCAAAGTGCTGGGATGACAGGCATGAGCCACTGTACCCGGCCCCTACAGGAGACATTTTCATTCAAATATATTAATAGGTTGAAGGGAAAATGGTGGAAAAATACATTATTGAAAAAAGCAACCATAAGAAAAATAGAGTGGCTATTCTAGTATCAAAAAATGACATTAAAAACTAAAAATCATGTCTTGCATATAGAGGGACATTTTATGATAATCAAAGGATCAAAATTATAGCAGTTTTTAATATATGCACTGACCAACAGAATCCCCAAATACCTGAAACAGAGGCTAAAATACATGAAACCAGAAACAGACAATTTACCAATCATATTTGGGACACCAAATATTATTGGGATGCTCTCAGTAATTAATAGAACAAAAAATACCAAAGCTCAACAAGTAAATGAAGGACTTGAATACTATAAACACATTAGTGTGAACAGGCCTCTATAGAACACTGTATCTAACAAATGCAGATTTGCATTCTTCCCAAGTACATGTGTAATATATTTCAGAATAGACCATATGCTAATATATAAAACAAGATTTAGAATTTAAAACAATTCATATTATGCTAATTTGGTTAACTGGCCATAATAAAATTGAATTCAAAATTAAGAAAAGAATTTGAAAAATTCACAAATATATGGAAATTGATCAAAACATCTTTAAATAACTAATGACTCAAAAAATAGTTAAAAAGAAAAGCAGAAATAATTGCAAATAAATAACAATTAAGACACAATATCCCAAAACTTACGAGATGCAGCTAAAGCAGTGCTCAGAGGGAGTTTTACAGCTTTATTATAAAAGAAGAAATATTTCACATGAACAACTTAGCCTTCCACCTTAAGACACTAAGAAAAAAAGATCAAACTAAGTGTAGGGCAAGCAAAAATAAAGAAAACATAGGATTAAAAGAAAAACTAATGAAATCGAGAGTAGAAAAAATAAATAATGATAATAAAACCAAAAGCTAGTTCTCAGAAAAAAACTGACAAAATGCACACAGTTTAGATAGATGATCTAACAAAAATAGAATGATTCTCAAATTATTAAAATCAGAAGTAAAAGGGAACATTACTACTGACCTTATAAGAATAAAAAGTATTATAAGGTGAAACTTTGAACTATATGTCAACAAATTATATAACTTCGATAAAATCAACAAACTCCTAGAAAGACAAAAACTATGACACTGACTTAAGAAAAAAGACAATCTGAAAAAATGTATCCCCTTCCACAAAGAAAACAAAAATTCCACGACCAGATGAATTTACTGGTTAATTTTACCAAATATATATACAGATACATTTATACGATTATTCAGAAACTCTTTTTAAAAATTGAAGATAAATAAACACTTCTCAGTTTATTCCATAAAGCCAGTATTACTCTGATACCAAAACCAAAGATAACACAAGGGAAAGAGGGAAAGAAATATTATAGTTCAATATATTTCTTGTAAATAAAGATGCAAAAAGTCCTCAGCATAATACTAACAAATTAATTCCAGCAACATATAAAGTACACTAATTAAATATTAACATATTTATATATACTAATATATATATACATAAACTGTGTAACCAGTTGGAACTTATCTCAGGAATATGATGTTGATTTAGCATACCAAAATCAATTAATATAACAGACAATATCAATAGAATGAGGAACAAAAATATATTATCTTCTCAATTTGGAAATAGCATGTGACAAAATTTAACACTTTTTCGTGATATAAACATACAACAAACTAGGAATAATAGGGAATTTCTTCACCCTAAAAAAGGTGAAGCTGATCTATCAAAGCCAATATCAGACTAAATGATGGAAGTATAAACTCTTCCCTGCTAAGATCAAGAAGACAAGGATTTTCACTCTCCTTCCATTCAACACTATACTGGAGAGCTTAACCAGAGCAATTAGATAAGAAGGAAATAAAAGGCTTCCAGATGGGAAAGGAGAATTAAAATTTTCCCTACTTATATACTGCATGATAGAAAATTCTTTTAAAATAAAAGGAAAAGTATTCAAGCTAATAAATGAGTCTAGCACAATTACAGGATACAGATCAATATACAAAATTCAATTGCATTTCTATTGAATTTCTAGCAATAAGCAAACTAAAAATAAAATTAAGAAAACAATTTAATTTACAATATTTTTAAAACCCTAAGAATAAATTATCAAAAATTTATAAAACTTATAATCTGAAAATGTAAAAATTGTAGAAATAAATAAAAGTAAACCTATAAATGAAGTAATACACTATGCTATGGATCAGGATGCTAGTATAGTTAAGATGACAATACACTCCAAATTGATCGACAGATTCAACACAGTATCTATCAAAAGCCCATATACATTTGAAGAAATTGACAAGATCAACTTAAAATTTCTATGAAAATTAAAAAAGCCCAAATCCACAAACCAAACTTGAAATAAAGGAGAAAAAAATTTTAAATCCATACTTCCCATTTTTAAAACTTTAAAGAAAGCTACAGTAATCAAGAGAGTGTGGTACTGGCCCAAGGGTATATATATAAATCAATGAAATAAAGTTGAGAGTCCAGAAATAAATCCTTACATTTACAGTAAATTGACATTTGCGACGGCTGCCTAACAATTCAATGAGAAGAAAATCATCTTTCCAATAAGTATTTCTGGGAGAACTTGATATCTACATGCAAAAAATAAAGTTGGACATTTTCTTTAAACCATATATAAAAATTAATGCAAAATAGATCAAATACCTAAATGTAAGAGCTAAAGCTATCGTAGATTATAAATTGTCATATAAGACACTAAAAGCATGAAAGGCAAAAGAAAATAATCATCATCAAAATTAGTATCTTTGTACATCAAAAGATATTAAGAAGTAAAAATATAACTTATGAATGGAAAAACAATTGTATCTCCTTAACTCATAAGGGGCTGGTATCTAGAATATATAAATAACTATTACAACTAAATAATAAACGGACAGAATTTAATGCAGTTTTTTCAGTGAGCAAAATACCTGAGTAAACATCTCTCCAAAGAAGATATATGAGTGGCCAATAAGCACTTATTAAACGATATTCCATATCATTAGTCACGAGATAAATGCAAGTTAAAACCACAAACATCTACCACATTCACCCATGAGGATGGCTAGAGTTTAAAAAGACAGAAACAAGTGCTGACAAAAATGCGAACAAATTGGGACCTTCATACACTAATGATGTAAAATGATGCAGTTGCTTTGGAAAACTATTTGGCCATTCCTTAAACAGTTAAACAGAAATACCATATGATCCAGTAATGCCACTCTTAGAAATACAGCTAAGAAAAAAACACACATCCACGCAAAAATTTGTTTTTGATGTTAAGAGCAAGAATACTCTTAGTAATCAGAAATGAAAACAAAAAATATCTACCAACCAATGAAAGGACAGAAAAAAATTGGTATGTCCATATAATGTAGTATTATTCTGCAATAAAAACAAAATACTGATACATGCTATAGCATGGATAAATCCTTAAAACATGCTGCGTGGCAGATGTCAATAACAAAGAACCCCATATTGTATGATTCCATTACATGACATTTTAAGAGTAAGCAAATCTACAGAGACAGAAAGTGGATTAATGGTTGCCTTGGACTGAGGGGAAGGGAGCTTGGGTAATGATTACTAAAGAGTGCAAGGTTTTCTACTGGAGTAATTAAAATTTTCTACAATTGATTTTAGTGATAGATACAAACTTTGAATATCATTTGAAGAAACTGACAAGATCAACTTAAAATTTATATGAAAATTAAAAATGATGTACATGTTTAATGGATAAATTGCATGGTAGATGAGTTTTAACTCAATAAAATTTTAAAAATTAAATTTAATCTAAATATGTACATATGATTTTAAAAATATTAAAGGACTATAATCTACGAAAATAATTTGTTCTGACATCTACACAGTGTCCAAATAAAGACTCTTGAATACAAGACACCAAAAGACTCAAATAATAAACTATTAATAAGACTATCTGAAGAAAGGCCTGGCTGCTGAGATAACAAATGCTAATTCCCTGATAAAAGTAAATAAATAAATAAATAGCTACATACCACTGGGAAAGAATTTCAAGGAAAAAAAAATGGATTCAGTGTTTTATTAAAGGGACTTGAAAGCTCCAGGGAAATTTAAAGTGTCCTTTTGTTCCCTTGTAAAATCATTTAATCATTTAAGTGATATTCTTAAGAAAAAGTAATGTTTATGCCATTTCTATAAAAGGTACTGTGCAAACTGAAGGAAAAAATATATTCTTTTAACACTAACATATATTGAAAGAAGAATGATGCCATATGGCATAGAAACTAGGCAGAACAGAACTTAACACTGATGTTTTGCAGTGGGTCCCTGAACAAACTCTATAAAATTAAAAAAGCCTTTCTATAACCTTGATATTTATAAAATGCTTTAGGAACAAAATGTAGAAAGAAAAGTCTGAGTTGATGCAACTTAAAACACATCTAAAAGTAATTACCAAAGTTTCTGAAAAGTTATATAAATGATTCAAATGTTGAGATGTATGATAGAGGATAAGAGCATGGTTTCTAGAATCATACTACTAAGACTGGAACGTTGACTCTATACCTCATGAAGGGCAATCTCCTTTCCTGGATAGTAGGAAAAATAATGACGAAATAACTTATCACACTGGGATATTATGAGGTTAAATTTGGTGATACATATGAGGCATTTAATACTGTTAAATAGTAACTACCATTATCCTTATAATAGATATTACTTGAAGTGTGAACTAATTTTATAGACTCTTTAAAGTGTTTTGATCCAATTCATTCATGAGGAACATCTTGATTAGTCTTGTTGATTCCTTAAAACATGCCTATTGTCTAAGTGAAATACCTTTAAAAATGTGTGCATGTGTTTGCATTTGTAAGTAAACATCTAGCTAATTATCACAAAGTCTGTGACTTTGTGAAGTCACAGACCTCTCAAAATTATGGCACTGGTGTTGTCATGGTGCTGCTTTTCTCTCAGTCCTGAATTCTGAATCATATTGATCTTTCAGGGAGAGCAAGAATAATAATTTTTCAATGTTGGAAAGAATAACTACAGAAAACTGGCTAGCTCTTATGAAGAAGACATTCATATTCATTTAAAACCTGGGTGCTTGAACTCTTGTGCTACACTGTGAGCTGAATTACATAAGAAAAAAATCACTTAGTTCATCCGCACTAAATTTCCTCATATTTGATTTTATAATGATAATTTATGAAATGGTTCATTATAAGAACTCAATGAGACAATATTATAAAAGTATAGTGTTTTACTTGGTATCTAGTATAAATAATATTAAACAAAGGTCACATGTCTCATTCCCCATCCTTTCTTTTTTATTTTATTTTTTTTAGAGGATCTTGCTCTGCCTCCCAGGCTGGAGTGCAGTGGTGTGATCGTAGCTCACTGCAGCCTTGAACGCCTGGGCACTAATGGTCCTACTGCCTCAGCCTCCCAATTATCTGAGCCTATAGGTGCATGCCATCATGTCTAGCTAATCATTTTATTTTTTATAGAGACAGGGTTTTGTTTTGTTGCCCAGGCTGGTTTTAAACTCCTAGTCTCAAGTTATCCTCCCCCGTCAGCCTCCCAAAATGCTAGGATTACCGGCATAAGCCACCACCCCTGGCCCACTATTTTTCAATAACAAAAAGTTGCTTCAGAAAGGAAGTAACGTTAGTCTTCCATAACTTATACTTGGTTCAGCTAATGTTGTTTCTAGGAACAAGGGATTTCTTTCCTAAGTAACTGTAATATTACCCTATAAATAACCAATGCTCAAATCTTCCCTGGATGATATGTAGATCTTAAAATGTACCCTTTTCCCAATTCAAAAGACCTAATAATGTACCTCAGTGATTCCCCAAAGATGGTTAATAGGTGAGAAATTTAACTTACAAAGAATGACATCAACAAAATTGCACAATAGGAGTTTTCTACCATCATCTTCGCACAGTGCAACAATTTTGCCAACCACCCACAGGTAAGAGTACCTTTGAAGGACTACAGAGGTCCAACAGAGAACTTCCAGCACACCATGAAGCAAAAAATCTGAGAATAGAGTCACTGAAAAGAGTAAGAAAATCAATTTTGCCTTATCCACATCACCCCTTCCCAAAGTGTCACAGCTCAGTCCCAAAAAAGCCAATTTTGGGTCCACAATTCCTCCCACAAGAGAAAGTGAAAATGTACTGAATGAGTGTCTGACTTCTCTAGCTATACAGGATGCTACACAAGAGACCCACCTCTTTCCAACCCCACGTAGATAACTGAGGGAATCAGCATGGCTACGTGGCTGTGAGAGTTTGAGAACAGGGAAGAAAGATGGCGACTTACAGGGCTGAGAAGGACAGTCAACAAAGGACTGAATATCTTATGGAACACTTTATGCTCTCCACCAGGACACCTGTTTTCAAGCCACCTGGGACACCTCACTTGTAGAAAGCCCCAACTGGCCAAAGGAGGCTTCCATAGCTCTGTACCCTTCCCCATCCATGGCCAGCTCTACCTAGGTACCATCTAAGTGACAAATGTGAGCCTTTGCAGATGGCTTACAAGCACATGCAGTTAGCCAGCTCAACTCTATGGGACTAGCAGAAGGCACACAAACTATAGAATTTCAGGTCACTGTCTTAAAGAAAACAAATGAAAGGCTGTCAGCACCCAGTCTGGCTTTATCAGATTAACAAAATATATACATATTCTTAGACTTCTCCCACCTCAGGAGGGAACAAAAGCAGTTCTGGAAGAGCCATAACCACCAAACAGGTCTGGGAGAGCCTCAGAATCTCAAGCTGGGCTGACTGATGAAGGCATTTCTCTCACAAATCAAGTTAGTAAAGACTGGAGGATTTTAATGCTTCTTAAGATATAAAAATAGCAACAAAAAAAGTTTAAGGGACGTGGAAAAATAATAAAATATGATGTAACCAAAAGAACACAATAATTTTTCGGTAGTCAATTCCAAACAAATGGAGATATATTAATTAGCTGAAAAATAATGCAAAATAATTGCTTTAAGGAAACTCAACAAGCTGAACAATATGATGAATAAAATGAAGAATGCAGTGAGTTTCAACAGCAACCTTGATCCAGCAGAAGCAAGAACCTGTGAACTCAAAGTTGAGTCATTTTAAATTATTCAGTCAGAGGAGGAAACAAAAGAATTAAAAGGGTTAAAGAATGCTTACATAATTTATGGGACTATATCAAGATAATTAATGTATGAATTATGAGAATCTTAGATGGAAAAGAGAGAGAAAAGAGAAGAAAGCTTATCAAATATAAATAATGGCTGAAAACTTCCAAATCTTGGCGAGATATGGATATCCAAATGCATAAGGCTAAACGATCCTCATACAAGTTCAACCCAAAGAAGACTTCAGCAAGACACACTCTAATCAAACTGACAAAATAAAAAACAAAGACATATTTTTAAAGCAAAGAAGAGGTGTCTCAAGTACAATAACATTTGTATTAGACCATCAGCAGACTTCTTAACAGAAACCTTACGTATCAGGGGATGGTGGAATGATATATTCAAAGTGCTGAAAAAAAATACGAGATGTTCGTCAGAAATGAAGGACAGATAAAGACTTTTCCAGATTAAAAAAAGTTAATGAAATTTATCACCAATATATCTGCCTTATAGGAAATTCTAAAGATAATTTTCTAGATGAAACAAAAGAGCATTAATTAGTAATATAAAAACATATAACAGTATATGTTACTAACTAAAGTTAAGTATATACTCAAATTTAGAATACTATAATGATGATGTACAAATCACATTTAACTCTAGGATATAGGTTAAAAGGCAAAAGTATTAAGTAAATACAGCTACACACATCTGTTAATGGATACACAATATAAAAATAAGTAGATGGTGATATCAAAATAAAAATGTGCAAGGAGGGAAGTAAAAGTTTATTTTTGTATACAGTTGAAGTTACATTGTTGTAAGAACAGGACCTGAGGGGGCCCCAGGGGGTGGGGCGAGTGCCACAGCACGGGCTTCACAGCCTCCTGGAGAGGAAGCCAATGGTCAGAGGACAGGTCCAGGGCCACAGCCCTCCTCCCTACAGCCACTGCCCTACCCGCCAGTGGGGCAGGCCATGGGTCCTGGGAGAGAGGGACAGGCAGAAGCACTTAGCACTTCTGATATGATCCACAGTCCCAGGACACACTCAGCACAAAGAAGGGGAATCCAGGACAGCAATTCTCTGCAGTACACGGGGACAGGATTTCCAGGGAAACGTGTAGTTTAGGGAAAAAAATCATTGAGTTTTTTATATGAGTTTCATGGTAACCACAAAGGAAAAACCTATAGTAAATATACAAAAGAAAAAGAGAAAAAGTTTATTAAAGTGTACACCTTCAAAAAGTCATCAAATCACAAAAGAAGAAAACAAAGAAAAACTATAAAACAGTCAGAAAACAATTAATAAAATGGTAATAAAAAGTCCTTACCTATCAATAATTACCATAAATGTAAATGGACTAAATTCTCCAGTCAAAAGATATAGAATGAGTTAATAGTTAAAAAATAAAATCCAACAATAGGTTGCCTTACAGGATTCTCAATTTAGCTTTAAAGACACACACAGACTGAAAGCAACAGGGTGAAAAAAAAATATCCCATGTAAATGGAAATCAAAAGAGAGCAAGAGTAGCTATTTCTATATCAGAAAAAAAATTTATAATAAAAACAAGAGGCAAAGAAGATCATTATAAAGTGATAAATGAGCCCATTCATTAAGAGGATATATCAGTTGTAAATATATGCACTCAACATCAAAGAACTTAACTATATATATATATATATATATAATTAATATATAGTTATATAAATATAAAATAAAGGAAGAAACAGAAAGCAATACAATAACAGTGAGATATTTCAATACACCATGCTCAGCAATGAATAGATCAACTAGGCAGAAAATCAATTAAGTAACCATAGATTTGAATTACACTTTAGACCAAGTAGAACTCACAGCCATATTCAGAACATTCCATCTAAAAGCAGCAGAATACACATTCTTTGCAACTGCCTACAGAAAATTCTCCAGAATAGATCATATGTCAGGCCACAAAACAAGACTTAATAAATTTAAGAAGATTGAAATTATATCAAGTTCCCTTTCAACCACAATGGCATGAAACTAGAAATCAATAACAGGAAGAAAATTGGAAAATGTACAACTATAAGAACAATAAACAACACACATGACAATAGGGTCAAGAAGGTAACAGAAATAAATATCTTCAGACAAATGAAAATAAAAACACAATATACCAAAAGGTATAAATGTACCAAAAGCATTTCTAAGAGGAAAGTTTATAGTGATAAATGCCAACACTGATTTTATATAGACAACATAACTTTAAACTTAAGAGAACCAGAAAAAAAGAACAAAATCCAAAGCTTTGAAAACCGTAAAAGGAAATAAAGATCAGAGCAGTAATAAATGAAATAGAAATTAGAAAAAAAATAGAAAAGATAAATAAAACTGAGTTTGTTTTTTGAAAATAAATATAATTGATAAACTTTTAACTAGTCTAAATAGCAGAAAGGAAAAAGACTCAAATAAATGAAAAATGAAATACAATTCATATTACAAAAACATAAAACTCCCTAAGAGACTACTATAAAAATATATGCCAAGAAATTAAGCAATTAGAAAAAATATGATAAAGTTTTAGAAATATGCAAACATCCATGACTGAATCAGGAAAAAATAGACTATACAAATAGCAAGTCAGAAGATTAAATTAGTAAACAAATATCCTCCTTCACTTATAAATTCTACCAAAAAATTAAAGAAGAATTAATAGCAATCCTTCTAAAACTCTCCCAAAAAATGAAGAGATGGAAAACTTCTAAATACACTTCATGAGGCCAGCATTACCCTACTACCAAAGTCAGGCAAGAATACTCGAAAAAAAGAAAATTGCAGGCCAATAATCTTGATGAACTTGAATGTAAAAATCCTCAACAAAATATTAGCAAACCAAATTCAACAATACATGAAAAGGATTAACACCATGTTCAAGTGGGATTTATCTTTGGAATGCAAGGATGTTTCAAAATATGCAAATCAATAAATGTGATATATCACATTAGCAGAATAAAGGAAAAAATGTATACAATAATCTCAATAGATGCAGTAAAACATCTGACAAAATCCAACACACTTTCAAAACAAAAACTCTCAACAAATTAGTTATAGAAATAATGTGACTCGATTAAGGCTACGTATACAGCCCACAGCTAGCATACCAATTGTGAAAAGCTGAAAGCATTCCTCTAAGATCACATGCAAGACAAGGATGCCCACTCTTTTTTTCAATTAATATATGAGATATTCATATTTTTAAGTATACATGTGATAATTTGATACCAGGATAATTGGAATATCCATAAACTTAGTATTTGTTTAATCTTTATGCTAGAAACATGCAAATTATTCTCTTTCAGCTATTTGAAGTGTACAACAGGTGATTGTAAGCTATAGTCACCCTACTAATCATAAGCTATAGTCACCCTACTAATCTATCAATCACTAGGTTTTCTCTCTTCTAACTGTATTTTTGCACCCATTAATCAGCCTCTCTTTATCCTTCCCTCTCTCCTACACTTCCCTGCCTCTAGTAACCACCAATCTACAGTCTATCTTCATGAAATCCACTTTTTGGGCCCCCCCGTCACATAAAAGTAAGAATACACAATTTTTTCTTTCTGTGCTTGGCTTATTTTGCTTAACATAATGACCTCCAATTAACAATGTTGCTGTAAATGCTTCACAAACATGGGAGAGAAGATATATTTATATATTTATCTGTACAACGTTTGTCAAAATATAGTGGCTGTAAATGCATAGATTTATGTCTTAGTTCTTTATTTTATTCCATTGGGCTATGTGTCTGTTTCATGCCAGTACCGTGCTGATTTGGTTATTATAGCTTTGTAGCATATTCTGAAGTCAGGTAGTGTAATGTTTCCAGTTTTTTAGTTTGTTTGCTTCTTTGTTGTTTGTCATCAGGATTGCTTTGACCATTTGGGATCTCTTGTGGTTTTATATGAATTTTAGAACGTTTTTTATTTCTGTGAGGAAATATTTTCATCGGTATTTTGATAATTTGATATATTCATATCTTTGATATGTTTATTTTCTTTCTATTGGATATGTACCCAGTGGTGGAATTGCTGGATTATATAGTATTAATAGCTCAATTTTTAAGTTTTTAAGGAGGAAACTCCATGCTGTTTTCCATAGTGGCTGTACTAATTTGTTCCCACCAACAGTGTATGAGGGTTGCCCTTTCCCCACATCCTCACCAGCAACCATTATTCTCTGACTTTTGATTTTTTGAAAAAGCCATTTAAACTAAAGTGAGATAATATCTCATTGTGGTTTTGGTTTTCATTTTGCTATTAAGTTGTTTGAGCTCCTTAAGCTATAAGTTTTATAAGTTTATAGCTTAAGGTCTTATATTTAAGTCTTTAATCCAATTTGCTTTGATTTTTGAATATGGTGAGAGACAGAGGTCTACTTTCAGTCCTCTGCATATGGATATCCAGTTTTCCTAGCACCATTTATTGAAAAAACTGTCCTTTCCGTGTTGTATGTTCTTGGCACCTTTGTCAAAAGTGTGGCATCTGTAAATGCATAGATTTCTGTTTGGGTTTTTCATTGTGTTCCATTGGGCTATGATTTGTTTTATGCCAGCAGCATGCTGATTTGGTTATTATAGCTTTATAGCATATTAGTCAGGTAGTATGATGTCTCCAAGTTTTTTCTTTTTTCCTCAGGATTGCTTTGACTATCTGGAATCTCTTGTGGTTCCATATAAATTTTAGAACTTTTTTATTTTTGTGAAGAAATATTTTCATCGGTATTTTGATAAAAACCATATTGAACCTGTACATTACTTTGGGTGGTATTGTCATGGTAACAATAATTCTTCCAATCCACAAACATGGAATATCTTTTCATTTTTTTTGTATGTTCTCTTCAATTTCTTTCATCAGTGTTTTATAGTTTTCCTTATACAGCTGTTTTACTTATTTGTTTAAACTGATTTATTGGTTTCTTTTTCAGATTATTTGCTGTTGGTGTATATTAATGACATTGATTTTTGTATGTTGATTTTGTGTCCAGAAACTTTACTGAATTTATTTATCAGTATTTTGGTAGAGTCTTTAGGTTTTTCTAAGATTATGTTTGTTTGTGAACAAGCCTACTTTGACTTTTTCCTTTCCATTTGAATGCCCTTTATTTCTCTCTTGCCTAATTGCTGTGGCCAGGATTTGCAGCATTATGTTGAATTATAGTGCCCTCATAGTTTTAGTCAACATAGTACTGGAAGTCCTGGGCAAAGCAACCAGACAAGAAAAATAAGTTAAAATGTCTAAATTGAAAAAACAAACAAACAAACAAAAACATAAATTGCCAAGGCAGGCGGATCACCTGAAATAAGGAATTTAAGACCAGCCTGGCCAACACGGTGAAACCCTGTCTCTACTCAAAATACAAAAATTAGCTTGGCGTGATGGCGGGTGCCTGTAATCCCAGCTACTCAGGAGGCTGAGGCAGGAGAATCGCTTGAACCTGGGAGGCGGAGGTGGCAGTGACCTGGGATTGCACCATTGCACTCCAGCCTGGGTGAACTCAAAAAAAAAAAAAATTAAAAAAAGAAAAAGAAAACCCTAAAAAGCCCACCAAAAATTGTTAGAACAAATTCAATAAAATTGCAAGATAAAAATCAACATACAAAACCAGTTGAATTTTTATGCACTAACAACAAACTCTCTGAAAAAGAAATTAAGAAAACAATGCCATTTACAATAGCATCAAAAATAGTAAAATAATTAGAATAAATTGAACCAAGGGTGTTAAAGATCTGTACACTAAAATCCATTAAACGCTATGAAAAAAGCTGAAAAAGAAACATGTAAATAGGAAGATATGCAATATTTCTAGATTGGAAGAATATTTTAAAAATATTCATACTACTCAAAACTATCTACAGAGCCAATGCAATTTCTATCAGAATCCAAATTATATTTTTCACAAAAATTGAAAAAAATAATCTAAAATTCATATGGAACCATAAAACGCTCCAAATACCCAGAGTAATTTTCAGGAAAAAGAACAAAGTTGGAGGCATCACACTTCCTTATTTCAAATTATATTACGACTTACAGTAACTAAAACAGTATGGTACTGGCACAAATATGTAGACCGAGGGAACACAATAGAGAAACCAGAAACAAACTTAAACATGTATGGTCAATGAATATTCAATAAAGTCACTGAAAATACAAAATGGGGAAAGAATAACCTCTTCAATACATAGTGTTTGAAAACTTTGATATCCTTATGCAGAAGAATGCAACTGGAGACAGATTATACCACATATTTTTAAAAAACTCAAAATGGATTGAAGACAAAAATAACACTTGAAACCATAAAACTGCTAGAAGAAAACATAGAGCAAAATTTCTTCACATTAGTCTTGGCAAATATGTAGTTTTTTAATATGACACCAAAAGCACAAGCAACAAAAGCAAGCTAAGTAAGTAGGACTTCATCAAATTAAAAAGATTCTGCATGACAAAGGACTCAATCAACAAACTGAAAAGAAATATATGGAATAGGAGAAGATATTTGCATACCATATATCGGATAAGGGGTTAGTATCCAAAATATATATGGAATTCATATAAGTCAATAGTAAATAAATAAATAATATCAAAAAATAAATAAATAACAAATAGTAAATAACAAATAACAGTAAATAATAAAAAGCAAAGGACCTGAATAACATTTTTTCAAAGAAGACATAAAAGTGGCCAACATCTGTGTAAAAGGGTAGCTCAATATCTCTAATCATCAGGGAATTGCAAATGAAAACCACTGTGAGATATGACTTAATACATATTAGGAAAGCTATTATAAAAATCTAAAGCTATCATAAGGATGTGGAGAAAAATAACCTTTTTACTGTTGACAGGAATGTAAATTGGTACAGTCCTCATAGAAAACAATACAGAAGTTTCTCAAAAATTTAAAAATAGACTACTCTATGTTCCAGCAATTCCACTTCTGGAAATATGTCCAAAGTAAATTATATTATTATTTTAAAGAGAGTTCTGCACTCCTGTATTCATTGAAGCATTATTCACCATAGGCAACATATAGAAACGACCAAAATGTCTAATAATAGATGAATGAAAAAGAAATGTGATATATACGTATAATGGAATATTATTCACCTTTTAAATAGAAGGATATTCTGCCATTTATGAAAACATGGATGAACCTGGAAGACTGTGCTAAGTGAAACAAGCCAGACAAAGAAAGACAAATACCTCATGATATCTAGAAAGTCTGAACTCATAGAAACCAAGAGAGTTGAATGATGGTTACCAGAGGCTGAAGGGTAGGGAATAATGGGGAAATGGTCAAAGTGTACAAACTTTCAGTACAATATGAACAAGTTCTGGAGATCTAATGTACAGCATGCTGAGTATAGTTAATAATACTCTATTGTATATTTGAAATTTGCTAAAAGAGTGGATCTCAGGAGTTCTTAATTGAGATCACAAAATAAAACAAAATCGAATTTTGTGGGCTTTTTACCTGTCTACAGTTCATTCTGAGAAATCATGCCAATTCTTTGCCTTTCTGGGAATATTTAGTGCAAGTGAAACGATAATCTGCAGAACCATGAGCCAAATAAATCTTTTCTTCATAAATTATCCAGCCTTAGGTATTCCTTTAGGGCAACACAAAACAGACTAAGATACCATGTCTCATCACTACAGCTGTGTGCTGCCCTCCACGGCTCAGCCTTTGTAGGCACTCCAGGAGGAGCTGATGTTCCCGGTGGCTGGGCACAATGAAAATAATAATAAAGAGATGGTAATGCTTACAAAATAAAGGTGAAATGACAAATACTAGTTTCAGATTACCTTTGTTTCTATAGCCATAGAAGAAATACTCATTTCTGTTCTACTTATTTGAGACTAATATGCAATACTATAGCTGAGTAAGATTCAATGATTCATAAAACAGAGGTCCCTATTACATTAACATGTTTAATACTAAACCAGATGACATAGTCAGTAGAAAGTAATTCTCTGTGCACATGTGCGCTTTGTGCAAGAAAGGGACTCCCCTTTCCCATGTATAATTATAGAGGACAAAATCACCCTAATAGAGTATATCATTTCTAAGCATGACTGGTGCTATGGTTTCATTGTGGCCCCCGTAAAATTCAGGTGTTGTCAATAAGAAAGTATTAAGACAAGGAGCCTTGAAGGGATGATTAAGCCATAAGGGCTGCCTCTTCATGAATGGATTTAAGGTCCTTTTAAAAGAGGCTTCATGTGATGTTCAGCTCACTTGCCCTTCTACCTTCTGCCATGTGAGGACACAGTGTTCCTCCCCTCCAGAAAATGCAACAACAAGGAACCAGTCCTGGAAGCAGTCAGCAGTCCTCACCAGACAGACAAACCTTCTGGTACCTTGTTCTTGGACTTCCCAGACTCCAGAACTGTGAGAAAATCAATTCTGTTTTTTGTCAATTACCTTGTTTGTGATATTTTGTTTTAGCGGCACAGACTAAAATAGCTAGTATTCAAAAAGGGCAAACAAAGCAGATGGTTTCTTTAAATACGTCTTTTGTGGGTTTCCAAAGAAAATGAACTAGAGTTTAGAAGCCATTTAGAGATATTTTAGAATGAAAACCTAGCTACTATTTGCATAATCCTTATATTTTAGGAACAGACAATAATGGTTCTAAAGTTGTTGCTCTGTGTATGAGACGATACATGGTTATTCACTGCAATAGCTGGGATTTCCAATGTTTATCTATAGAAACCTAATCCCCAGAGATGTACTAGGGGAATATATGAATAATTTTATGAACAAATATATCATAATCTATTGCCCAATAAAGAACAAGATTTGGTAGCATCATACATGTCCTCAGAAGTCCTAAGATGAAGTACCTCTATATTTTTATTCAAACCAGATTGTGTCTAACACACTAGTCTAGATTTAAAAAAAAATAGACATTCAAAATAATGATTTGAAGATCTTATTTCTAGAAATTATTCATTTTATTTTTGTTATTAAATTCTACTGATCACTTTATACCACAATTTAGTTACTAAATGATTATGTTCTCATTTTATTCTTCTCATGAACTAAAATATGTTATAAAAGAACAGTAACTAAATTAGTAATGATGCAAGGATACACAAAGCAAGGATCATTATGGGAAGCCCTGGCAATTGATTTTTAAATACATTGATAATCTAGATTGGGCATGAAAAAGAAAACAAAACAGAGAAAGAACAGGAAAAATATCATCTATATCATAACAGGATAATTAATTAGTTACTTATTAAAATAATTAGTTTTATGTTTATTTTACCAATATGCCAAATGCACAGTAAGGTAATTTGATAATTAAATTTGATTATAGAAAATAGGTATTTAATCATTTTTCTTTTGAGAGGAAAATTATTGGTGATTCTGAATTTGTTTATGTATATTTCTTATCACCTTTAGGAATTTTCTAGTAGCAGATTTATTAAATGTTGCAAATGTTTTCAAAGTTTCAAATATGTATTATCGTGTACATTAGAATGTTCCTTTTATTATGCACGTTGGTCAGAAGAAAATTTTATTTTTAAAGGCATTACCTCAGTAGTGCATTTAAATGCTTTTAAAGAGACAGGAATGAGTTCACAAACAAAAAATCAAGTGATTAATTTATTTAGAGATTACTTCTGTTTGTCACTAAGAAAATGCTCCAAATATTTGCTGTCTTATGAGTTCATCCATCATGCATTCATTCTTGCCTTCACTCACTCATGCATTCCTCCAATACCTGTTCTGATGCAGCTGCTTCATAGTATCTATGTGCACGGACTTTGGAAACAAATTTCATGGGCTCAAGTCCATTCTGCAACACACGAACTGTCTGTGCCTGTGACTTATGTCTCTAGGCCTCACATATAATGGGAGAAAGAAGGTAATGCCTGCATGGAATTGTGGAAGATATAATTTGTTGATCCAGTAAAGGACAGAGGACAAAACCTACTACAGTGTAATAACTCAGTTAATTCTATATTTAATAGTAATTATGCCCATTGATATGCATTGATTACTTGCTATATGTCAGACTCTATGCTAAGAATAAGTTGTGTATGTCTTAACTCATTTATATATATATATATATACACACACAAACACACACATACACACACTTATACACACAGACATATATATACACTTAACTTTGTTTTATGAATTTTTCAATAATTTTACAGATTATATAATAGAATAGCAGAGAATTTAAGTAAATCATCTAAGACCATGTATTCAAAAGACAGTCTGACCAAATTAAAACCAGGCAATCTAATTCTGAAACTTGCATTCCCTATGATTGCAGTCCACTTCCTGCTTTTTAATTTGCAAACATAACTCATCTAATTCAAAACATTTGCAGGTACAATATGTCACCTCCAATATACCTTGTGGAAAAATAAATTCTTTGGGATAGAGATATTTCTGTTCCTTTTACCTATTCTTTCCATAAACAGTTCAAAGCAAATTAAACATTGAAGTAAACTGCAAGCATTTAATCAATCCTAACACCCATTTATTGCTGCTTAAACTACAAAGCAATAGGATTATCTCCAATGCATTCATAAATCTGCTCCAGAAAATCCGTCTCTTTCTGTGTCTATATTTCTTCCATGATGGTTTATTGCTTTTGAGAAGTTTGTAGTGTGAAAGTTCTACAATACTAAATCATTTTGAGCAAAAGAGAAAGAAACTATATTATAATTGCAAATAAACCAGATAATAACATATTATTAACCTTCAGTGGTCCCCCTGAACCATCATTAACACATATCTATTATGCATTTATATATCTGTGTTCATTGTGCTTGACACTGAAAAAGCAGAGGTGTCTCAAACAACCTTTATCTTTATTGAATACCCAAGTCATCGCAGAAGAAAACAAATGCTTTATTCTATGCAAAATCCATATGATTACTAAATCAAATGAATAGTGATCTAATAGAAGGGTGTATGCTAGACTATAAACTCCATGAGGAGAAAATTTTTGTTATTGTTGTCTTCTGTAACGTATCTCAGAACTTAGAGTAGGTTGTTGGGCATGTAAATGTTCAAGAAATATTAAACTAGTGAATGCGTAAGTGAATGAATTAATCAACGTGGAGAATATGTAATACAATTTGCTGCACCGGCTTAAGATAATCTTCATAAAGATGGTTTGATATAGGTTTGGCTCTTCTGCATGGAAAAGGGAAAAAATGATGATATTGGTCACTTTTTTTTTTTTGGTGATTGTTATAACTTTTGGAATGGTTCATAAACTTTCCAAATTCTTTTACATTTGTAACACTGTTATCTTTTTTCTTTTCTTTTTTTTTCCAATTGTGAGCCATTCCATATTGCATCTTTATTGCAAAAGTCAACGTGCTTCTTAGAAATTCAGATTGTGATTGATAAAATGAACATAACATATATGAATTTAAATGTATAAACAGTTAGAAATTCAACAGTATCTCCTATTATATTATTACACAAGTTCACAATTTTATAAAACCATAATACAGGCATACTATACATCAAGAGGAACCACTATTCCTTTTCATATTATTTTTTTCCTTTTTGAAATAATGATCCATCACTATGGACCCTTTTCACCTTAACATTTAATGTTAGTGGAAGCAATATCATTTTTTATTGAAATCACTCTGTCTTATCCCAAGTGTTTTCTAACATTTTGCAGGAAGAGACTTGGTGTGAGCATCATTACAAAACTTTAGCAGTTATGATTCTACTATGCCCCTTCCAAAGAGGTAGTAAGGTGAAACTCAAACACAGGCATCAATCAAAGATGGAACCTCAGACTTTTATTTGTTTTCTGGTTCTTTTAACCACATTTTTGTCTGGACTTTGCTTACTCGTCAAACTCAGATCAATTCTCTGCAGAAAGAAACAAGTAATGTGTGTGTGTGTGGTGTGTGTGTGTGTATGTGTGTGTGTGTGTTTAATATTACAAAATGCACTCTGCCTTCTCCTCTGTCATCAAAAATCCTTTCAATATTTCTGTTTGCTTACAAAATGAAATTTAAAGGGATTATCTCATTTCCTTAGTTTACCTTTCCAGTCTCATCTTGGTCCATCTCTTCTCTCCACACATCAGCCACATTCATTCTCTTGGTTCTTGGAACACTCTGTCTTCAGTCGCTTTCCTGAAACAGAAGTTACAATGAGTTTTCATGATAAAGAAATGTGTTAGGGTGTGCTTACAGGGGAAAAGATATGACATACATGTTAAGGCGTGCTTAAAGGGGAAAAATATGAGAAAAGTAGATAGATCAGATTGAAAGAATTAAGCAGTAATTTGGTCTCAGATGAAGACTACCTTCTTAATAATTCCACAAAAATTCTGGGCACAAATTACACCACAGAGTTATTTCTACCTTGAGATAATGGGGCCAGCCTCTTGAATTCAGTTAGTCATAGACTATGTCTTTGCTCTTAGGTGAGGGAAGACTGATACTTACCAGGTCAGGTTGATTCCATTTGTTGATTCCATTTTTTGTACTATTCCTTAAATAAACAGTTATGAGCTGCTAGCAGTCAACACTTACAGCATCTTTAGTGGGTGAGGCTGCACCAGTCAAGGAAAGGGGATTGGGGAAATATAAGCGTGCGTTCCACAGGAGAATTTTTGTACTGCTCGTATCCACTTCTTTTCATGTTAAGTTCATTCCCCACAATCACAGCTTCTCCAGCACTCTAGTCAGTCACAACCTGGGATAATTTACAAATTGCAATCCCATGCTGCAATTCTCCCACAGCTCTTACTGAAACCTATCATCTTCCTCTGCCACATGTTCTATACCTCAATCCTCCTAGGCTGGAACTTCTGCAGATCTAGACCCTCATCCCTGAGGAGTCTGAGGTGCTGGTTACCATGTTCTGATCAGATACGCTTGCTGGACTTGTTCATGTACCAAGTGATGCTCCAATGGAGTCAGCTAAGTACTCATTTGGGTCTCCTCTTTGGCCAAGGACAATTATGCAGAGAAGGAAGCAACTGTGTATTGTCAGCAAATATCACAGGAGCTAGAAAATGAATGTTCCAGCATATGAAGGAGACCTGGGCAGGGCACTTGCAACATGCACTATGCAGGCTAAACTCTTTACTGCTTCAGGACCTGTGCACTTCCCATCTTTTTACTTAGAATGCTTGTCCTTCTGCTGTTTCAATGGCCAGCTCTTCCCCACAGTTCATTGAGAATCATACCTGCTTCCCTTTGAGAGACACCATTGCCAACCATCCCACCTAGATCTTATTGTCATCATTTACATCATTCCTGTGTTTTCCACTTTTTAATATTTAGCTAGATTTACAATAACATAGTTTGACACTTTATTTCAGTTTTTTCTCTTTTACTACTAAAAATGTATGCTTAGTGAGGATAAAAATAAATTTGATTTGTTCACTTCTTTATCACTAGCCTCTAGGATGGAGACAAAAATAGAGAAACAAAGAAGATGTATTGGGTGCATATTTGAATGCAGCAGTTGTGTATAAAGGTTGTAATGGTCTTGGGTACTCAACCTTTATACAGACATTGTGAATTTCCCCATCATATTAGGAGCCTAGGATAACTGTGTTTATTTACCTGCATCACTTTCCCAAAATACCATGTGTGCTCATTATAATGCCTCCAATCTCATCACCAGGAGCATCTCACGTCCTTAACTACTCAACCCTTTTTTGCCTGTCTCTTTAATTTGCGATCTCATAAGACACATTTGGTTGCAGTAAATCTATTTTTCCCTCCCTTTTTTCTTGAAAGAATCTACCAACTTCTTATCTTGATATCAGGACACAATGCATTAGGTTTAACATAAAGCCAAAAGATGTGTCAACCATTCATTGTTAAACAGATACATTTGGTTCCTTTTTCCTCTCACTAATATTGTATTTAAGTAGCTTCAGTATGTCTATGCAGCTTTGGAAACACGTTCAAGATATTTTATTCTCTTTATGATTAATTCTTAACTATTAATTTCAGAATCCAAATTCAGGGTGATGTAAATTCCTTACTTTCAGAGTAGTGAAGTGTAAGAAAGGTTAGAAAAGTCCCAGAGATAGGACTCTAGTTCAGGTTATTAATTCTATGTAACAGGAAAATGATGTAGCTCATATGAGGAGAAAAACTAAAGTTTATTTTTAAATACACACATTTGGATGCATTTTTGTGTAAATATATGCAAAAATACACATTTGTATATGTATATATACACACATATATGTACAAGTATATGTGCGTGTATTTATATATAGAGAGAGAATGCTTATAAATAAGATGTAATCTTTTTTATCTAATATATTGAGACACTTGACTAAGAATGGTGGTATTGTTAATATCTAATATCCCATTCCCACCAGTGCTACCCTTTAATAAAGTTTTTGCCTCTCATCAAAACACAAAAGTCAGCTCAAACTGTTTATTTTCATATCCTTAGCATTATTGATTTTGAGCACTCCATATGTTGTTTTGTGTACTTTTGAAGATAAGATGTAATTATTGAAAGAAATGGATCAATGAAATAAGAGATTTAGCTGCTTATTAGTTTATCTCACTCTGCCTCAAGCTCGATTTCTCAAAGAAAACAAGCCATCTGTATGTACGCTTTTTGGGAAAGAAAATTAACTAGAGTCGGTGTTCTGGGTAAACTTCTGATATTTACTTCAATTACTCTGTGAGGCATCCCTAACATGACTATGAACTCTGAGAGAACTTGTGAGAAGAGTTGCCATTCTATTACAGCTCAAACATCAGTGATTTTCAAGGATTCATCGTGGAATCTATTCTAGGCATACTACAAATAGGATATGTAACTGCACTTTGATATTGTCTAAACCGGATTGTGTTCATGCTTGTTCTTTAAGAATATAGTTAGGTTATGAAACAACCTAATTAGCTCTTTTAATGACCAAAACACTGTCCCTCTTGTTAGGCAATGTAGTCTCATCTTATCTGCTCAGCTCTTAAGGAAGTCACAAAAGCAATGCTTCCTCTCCAACCCAGGCTTAGAGGCTTAAGATGAATTTATTTCAAACATGCATATTCATGATTTTCCTTTATTTTACCTTATCTGCCCCTGCCTTTACTTTCTTAAATCTCATTTTAGCTTGCGTGTAATACTCCGATATTTTGAGTGTACCCTTGGAAAAGACTAATGCATAAATTAACATAAATAATCTCTTAAAAGTAGTTGTATCCTAAGCCATCTGTCTATCTGAAATCTAACGTCTTCTATTTGATTGGTTGGACAGATCTCATGATGTTGGATAACTCTAGAACTTACCCAAGTAGAAATAAATAATAACTTTTGAGGTAAAAAGAAAAGTAAAAATAAATTTCCTGGAATTTTCTCAATAACTTCTTATCACAGATTCATGGAACCTTGGGAATAGATAGAACAAAAGCTCACCTGAGGGTTTTATGAATATTGATATGGTTCTCATTTGTTCCTTCAACGTTTTGCACCTTCCCTTATATTTTTATTGTATAGTCTCTTCTTCCCTTTCTCTGTCCTTCAATAATTTGCAACTCTGCAGAAGGGAAGTTAGATGGTTTACCTATCAGAAGCATTAATGGGACTGGGGATACTGATCTGGTCCCATCAAGCACCTGACGTTTGAATTCTCTTGTAAATATTTCCAAAAAATACTTAGCCTCTATTATTATTGTACCACTACTGAGAGCAAAAATAATTAGGAGTAAAAACAATAAAAATGATTAAAAGCATATTGTTATTTATATTATATTTGAGTACTTTGATGCCTCAGGAACTTTTATATACATTACTTCTCATCCTTGTCTCATTTAGTAAAGTTACTCCTGCCATGTTTTGGAGAAAGTAACTGAGATGTCAAGAAGCAAAGTGACTTGCACAAAACCATAAAGGTTGGCTGTCAGACTAGGAATGTTAGCACATTCACTAATGCACATTCTTGGAACAACTCTAGTGATGTAGAACTCAGTAAATATGGAAGCAGACATTGTTTTTCCACTCAGGGGAAAAAGGTTTTAATTAAAAACCTATATATGAAGGTGAATTCAAACTATATTCTGTTAGACAATTGATTACTCAGAGTAATTAGAATCTATTATAGTTATTCTCATATTTCAAGTGTTCACACTTATATATAGATTTATATATTACATATATAGCAGAGATTATTTATTAGCATAATGGTATTTCTGAACATATTTCTTATACAGACCTAGAGTGATACAATCGAGTTTAGCTTTTACAAAATACATCACAATATATACCAATATTTCTCATTTACTTCATTTGGTAAGAATTCAGATTCACATACAAATTAAGATTTGCTCCAACAGCACTTTTCGAACTTGAGTGTATAAAATGCAATTCAACTTACTCAGCAGAATGATGTACCCCCAAAACTAGAGTAGTTAGAGTTTGCTGTGAAGACATAAACTACTACATTTACTGCCAGGAAGTTTTTGGTAACATCTAAAGCAAAGGAAGGTAGTCATAACATCTGAACCCATAAAAGCTGGTTATACAGAAATTACTACAGTATGGAAAATTAGAAGTCACATCCAAAATACATGGAATAAAAGAATACTTATTATTTTAATTTCTTTTAATGCATTTATTCAAGTACTTATTATTGACACCTGCTCTAAAACACATATAGTGCCAGAAGCTGGAGGTACATATAAAAATAATGTCTGGGTCAGGCACGGTGGCTCGTGCCTGTAATCCTAACACTTTAGGAGGCTGAGGCGGGCAGATCACTTGAGGCCAGGAGTTCGAGAACAGCTTGGCCATCATGGCAAAACTCTGTCTCTATTAAAAAGACAAAAATTAGCCAGGCATGGCGGTGCATGCCTGTAATCCCAGCTACTTGGGAGGCTGAGGCAGGAGAACTGTTTGATCCTGGGAAGCAGAGGTTGCAGTGAGCCAAGATTGCACCACTGCACTCCAGCCTGGGTGACAGAGCGAGACTGTCTCAAAGTAATAAATTAAATTAAATTAAAAATAATATCTGGGCCTTAGTCAAAAGGAGTGTACAGTCTCATATGAAGACAGATTTTATCATAATGTAGCCTATGTTACTGGTATGCAAAAAATAATGGAAGAATGGGGGTCTGGTTTTGGAGAGGAAATGACATTTGCACCATGTTTTGAAAAGAGATTAGGATATTCTGGGAAAAGATGCAACAAGAGGCAGGCAAAGACAGCATTAGAAGTTCATTGTGTGCCTTGCAAATATGTAAACTTTGTTTTCTAAAGAAAATAAGGATTTATTTAAATTATAAGAAAAATGACATTAGCAATAATAATAATGACATTAGTAGGTTTTAATTATTCTGGAAAAAACATGGTGAATAGATGGGGACTGGGTAAGAGAAAAGATTAAAACATTCTAGGCAGGAATTGATGAGGTCTAGCTATAGAAGCAGTAAGAAGAGAGAGCGAGGACTCAATGACTATTCAAGGGTCAAGGTTAATATGTGTATTCTATACATAGAACATATAAACCAATTGATTTGGACCCTCCCTGTGTACCATTTCGAGCTTATTGTGGCCATGTTCTCTAACAGCATTGCACAGATGCAATCAGACAGTGGCTCATCTTGGCCTGTGCTACATACCTCTCCCTTCCTAATCTGGGTCTTTTCTGATCCTATGGCAAGGATCCTGTGTACCATTTCAAGATTATTGTGGCCATGTTCTCTAACTGCATTGCACAGATGCAATCAGACAGTGGCTCATCTTGGCCTGTGCTGCATACCTCTCCCTTCCTAATGTGGGGGGTCTTTTCTGATCCCATGGCAAGGGACGCCTGCAGAACCTGCTCTTTGCTCACATATATGTACTCCACAGTGTAGGAGGCTAATGCCCACAGGGCTATCTATGACCAAGTGGAGACAATGAATAAATCCACCCCTTTGTCTCTGGAGCATTTTATTCTAAGATATATTTCAAAAAGCAACTTATAGAAGATGCCAGCTGACAGAGCCTTCAGTCACCCACAGCAATGACCAATACCTTAACACAAATGTATGTAGCCTTTCTCTCTTCTCTTGTGTTACTCCCCCTGTCCTTTAATCCCACTCCCTGTATGTCATGCCCCAAATAAAAAAGTGCATATTCAAGCCTTTATTTCAGGTTCTGCTTTTAGGGGAAACTAAGTCAAAGTATTGGTTGGCAAGAAATATCTTACCAGGTGTGTCTTGTTTATAGCTTTCTGTCCATAGTCCCTAAATCAGAGAAAATTCTATAAAGACCTTATAATGATATACCTACAATCTCAGCAGATGTATTATTTGATGTTTCAAAAGACAGGATCAGAAGAGCCATGAAATAAACTGAGCAACAGCCCAGAAGGAGTTCTAGCATGACAGAATTAGCCAGGCCCATCTGATTCTCGGTGAGATCTTTCATGAGAAAAATGAGTGGGGAAAAGCAAGATCATTGGACACCTAAACAGAAATTAAGGCATGGGTACAGAAAAGGCATTAGGTGAAATTGTGGGAATATGTATCTGTAAGCTACACTCCCGAGGAAGCAGAAACCATTAAGTGAACAGACACGAAGTAGGAAAAGATACCCAAAATATAAAGGAAATGCCAGACCATGGTGAGAGAAGAGAGCAGATGACAGAATCAGATGCCATAAGAGAGACAGAGAGAGACAAAGGTTACTCAGTTTCTAGCTGATTTCCATTTCCTGTCTTAGATTTTTAACCACAAGTATCTTACAATAAATTTCATTTTTTAAAAAGTTCTATGTCATCCTCTGATTCTTGTAAGTAGAAGAGCAACGCTAAATTTTTTCTCATTCTGTTTCCTTTGGTAACATTTGGCAAAATCTTTCCACAGTCCAGATAAAAAGGAAGTTCCTCCCAGACCTCCCACATACTTCTTCCAAAATCTTCCCCTTTCACTGCAGTACATTTTCATTGATTTGGCTATCAGGAGCACAGCCAGACAAAATCATCTAAGACTCACGACATTATGCAATAACTTGAAAATACCAAGCACTTTAATGTAATTATCTTGTCTAAAACAGTTTAGCAAACAGAAAGTCAAGCTTCTGATGGTTTATGCTAATATGCCTCAGAAGCAATCACACTGGTTATTTTATTATTTCTCTTTCCCATATGTCTGTAAGTACACCTCACTTGGAAAAGGATTAAGACAGACAAGACAGACAGACAGCACTTTTATTTCTTAAAAGTTGATGTTAAATCAATACTAGTGATTTGCTATATTATTTCAATAATACTATTGATACTATCGATGTTCAATACTATTATGTAAAAACACAGTAAGTTTCAGAAGTAATTTCATTTGTTATGCACTTGAAAAAAAGGAAGTGAATGATATATTTTAACTGTAAAACAGAATTTAAAAAACACAAAAAAATTCACAATATTATAAAACAAAATGAAACGAAAAGAGATGTTGAGCTTCCACCTTCCATCTATGGTAATATTGAAAGACTATGGAAAGGGTGTGATCTGAATTAGGGTTTGCCAAATTTTCCCTGTAAGTAACCCAATAGTAAGGATTTTTGGCTTAGTGAGCCACGAAACCTGTCATAACTAATGCAATCAGCAGAGTAGAAGCATTTACAAGAAGGGAAGATTCAGATATTCAAATTCAAAGTTGGTAGAGTTCAAAGACACTGAGTCTTAAAAATATGGCCTGTGTGGGCCAGGCGTGGTGGCTTACGCCTGTAATCCCAGCACTTTTGGAGGCCGAGTGGGGGGCAGATCACGAGGTCAAGAGATCGAGACCATCCTGGCCAACATGGTGAAACCCCATCTCTACCAAAAATACAAAAAAATTATCTGGGCTTGGTGGCATGCGCCTGTAGTTCCAGCTACTCTGGAGGCTGAGGCAGGAGAATCGCTTGAACTTGGGAGGTGGAGGTTGCAGTGAGCTGAGATTGCGCCACTGCACTCCAGCCTGGGTGACAGAGCAAGACTCTGTCTCAAAAAAAAAAAAAAAAAAAAAAAAAAAAAAAAAAAAACATGGCCTCTGTGGAGGGATGAGGACGGGTAATTTTTCTGATGGAAAGGGAATGTCATAGATTGAGTTCCCCAGGAACTGGAGGTTCATAAGAGAGTGCTCTTGGGGGTGACCATGTGTAGAAGAGAATAGAAGAAAGCAGAATTGGGCAGTGGAAGAAGTTATGCAATCTCAACAAAGGCCTCGGACAATCATATGAGGAGCTTTGAAGCTGAGATGACTCCCTCAGAATTCTCCCAAGTTGGCTCAAGAGGGCAAGTTATTAATGCTTTTACATTGATTAATCCTCAGGTAAGTAATGGTCAAATAGAAGTATATCCATGAGGGAGGGGACTCTTTTCAATTGAGTTCTAGAAGCAGATGCCCCAGGATTCCTAGGAAAACCTATGAGGGAGGCTAGTAGAATGAACTCTAATCCCTCCTCAACAGCTGCTGTCAGAGTTGCAACTACTATTCTTTCACCTCTGATGCCATTCTACACTCCTTCCACACTCAGCTAGTTCCCCATCTGGCATAGCAGATTCCCCCAGTGACATAACCCAGATCCATATGCTTGACAGATTTAAGCTCATGTTTACCATATCCATTGTAAGCAGAAGTTATTGAACTTGTCCAATTACTATCAAAATCAGGCAAGGGAGTACAAAGAGGCACCCAAGTGAATCACTTGTGTGTGCCAAATTCATTCATTCTGCCCTCATTTTGACAATTCCACCACCAACAGCAGCCCTGACTTCTTTTTATTAATAGGACTAATTACCCCTGTAAAGATGGTAGTTCTGCTTCTTGAGTGCTAGTCTCTTTCATGAAATCTGAAGTACCAAAGCGGAAGCTGTAGTTTGTATTTCCACAGGACTCTGTGTTCCCAGTGGAAGCATTCCCACCTTAAAAACTAGGACCCTTAATTTTAGAGTCCCACATTTCAAGAATAAGAATTAAGTCAGATATTGTATTTCTGATAAGTGGAAGTGATGGTTAGCCAAGCCATGCCTGGGTTCCTGAACCTACGCTCCAAGTGTACACCATATCCTGGAGGATGACTCTCCATATTCTCAAGATGTTATCCCCAGATTGGTGCCTCATTTGTGCATTAAACTGGCTATTCCATCATTCTATCAGTCTGGCAATTGGCAGCTTCTGAGCAGTGTGGAACATCATGTGACCTGTGGAACTCATACATGGTAAAGGCCTCATACCACTTTTTCTATCAAGTGGAGTCCTTGACTTGAAGTGATATCAGGGATTTTCCATGGGTGGATTAAACATTTTCTAAGAGAGTGGTGATAGCAGAGGCCCTATTGTCAAGGTAAACTTGCACATAAAAGTATAGAAAGATTTCACCAAGTTGCTTTGTGATTTTTCTATAATAGATCATTTTGGTGGGTGCTAAACGTGATTTGAAGATCTTCACACTTTATGTCCACTCTCTTTCACTGGTCCACGTGATTCTATCCCAAGAGTTCTTGTCCTTGATTTTCTCAACATTATTCATATTCATGTACATTCTAACCTCATGCTATTATTGTTCCAAACAGCCTCTAATCACTGCTTAATCATTCTCCCAAAGTTGTTTTTTTTTCCAAAGCAATCAAGATTAGCAATCAAAATGAACAATTCTACTGTTTTTATAGTTACTAGTTTTCCGATAGTTCAAACCTCTGTAAACATTTCAAGAGCTAATACATTTGCTCAAACTAGTATAATATTCCAATTCAATGTGGGCGAAGTTTGGACAATTGCATTGATCCCTTCTACCAGAAACAATCTGCTCCTTCAACGGCCAGTGACGGGTCCCTTAATGCCAGCTGGCTGGCAAGTGACCCAGCTGGAAAGTTCCATGCTAGATCCTACTTCCTCCAAATTCCCTGGCAGCAACAAATGTAGTTTGAGTTCCCCGAAACCAAACTCTAGTATGAAAATTACTTTCTCAGATACTTTTAGAAAACAATCTTGGAGTCACCTCCCTGTAAAATGGGGGAAAACAACACAGGATTGGCCAGAGAGCAGACAGACTAGGATTCAGGTATAACAGAAGTCACCGTCTCCAGGAGAAGGTCTGACGCCGGGATAACACTTCAGTGTTGCCCAAGAACTGACAAAAAAGGCCAGTTTCTTGTGGCCATATAGGCCAGTCAGTGTAGGAGGACTGACCTGGGAAGAACTGGAACCTTTGTAGAGATGAGGCTTACCTGAGGCAATCCTTAAAGATGGTGGAAAGCTGAAGGCTGTCTGTTGGCAGCAACACACACTTCAACTGGGTGAATAAATCCTTAATTTTTGAAGAAGTAGCTAGGCAGTATATCATGGTATCCACTGCAGTGGGGTAGAATAGGATCTATATTTCAACCAGATTGCAAGTACCTCATGCCTAAAGATCACATTTCTGATGTTCACCCAGTTCAACAATACATTTAGTGACCACTTGTTGTATGAATATTAATGTAAAACTATTTAAAATGATAACCAATATATCATTACGTAGTTTGTGATTTATTATTTTTAAACATAATCCTGTATCTCTGCAATACATGACGTTAAGTATATTAAAAATCCATTTGCTTTATCACTTAAGAAACATATATTTAACTGCTAGATACTGTGCCAGATACCATATTAGACGCTGGAGAAGTAATGCGAGGATTTATGGGCACTACCCTCACTGAGCTGATTTAGAAAGATGAGACAATTAAACATGTAATAGTTTCACTTTTCTCCAAAATCTCCCTTAGGTCTCACTCAAAACACTCAATGTAGACATGATTTCTCTATGTTTTTAGTTCTTATTAGAGGTTGTGGTGGGAACATGGCAAACACAAATTAAAATTATACATAAAGGAATAATAAAAAAATTAAATGAGCTAACATTTGTAATTACAAAAATGTCCAGCACAAAGTAAAAGCTACAAATAAAACATGTAAGTTATGATAAATACTAAGGAATTAACCAGAAAAGTGATACTTAGAATTTTCTGAGTTGAAAGCAGCTTCTTTTCACTAGTACTTGGTTGAAGAAATGATTTAGGTAGAAATTGCTTAGCATGTTGGAGAAACAATGAGAAGGCTACTAATTTTACTGCATTTAAGAAGTGACCGAATCAGAAATCCATAATTTTCTCTTAAGCACGTTGTATATTTCTGGAGAATATTTGGTGTATTTTCCCTGTTGCTGTTCTCTGAAATCAGGCCCACATACCACTCTTTACAGCCCCCTATGGTACTTTGCAGGGGGTTAGTCACATCATTGGAATTCAATAGGCCTTTTGATTAAATAACTATAAAAGTTATTAATTTCAAATACAAGAAAATGGTTCTTTTTTGGGACTTGGAGACTATTCTATAATCAAACTAGTAATATTCTCTGATTTAAATTTAAAATAAAGCAGAATGGGTACTTTTTATGTTGTTGTTTTTAAACAGCATGAATCCTGGCCAAAAGCACTCCAAGGAACTAATCTGAGTGAATCACTGCATTTCCTAGTGAAACTGTAAATTTCAGCATGGATTAAAAAAAACATAAAACCTCAACACTTCAAGATATTAATTAACCTACTTATAGATATATGTAGATAAATGGCAGAACTTGGAACCCCCTTAGATTTTCTGACTTTCCCTACTTAGTTGTAAAACATCAAAGAGAGAGTAATAATAATTTTCTGGGTCTTTTTTTGTATCTTGAATATTATATTATTGTAAGCAGATGTTAAACTTTTATTGATAAAAATGAGATCATTCAGGGAAACCATCGGCTTTTTTAAGTTTCTTTTTAAAACTTTTTTATTTGTGGTCTCTTTTTAAAAGAGTTTACTATCACCTTTATTAGAACAGACTGTCAATAAATTCTGAATTCTCCAGGTAATCTCTTAACTCATTAGATCATTATTTTTGTGAGGGATAAAAATGAAGCTTACAAGTAGACTTTTTTTATTATTTACCATAAGTTATTTTTACCCAGAGCTATAAGGTAGAAACAAATCAGAGTCCGAAATATGAAGTTTTAAGCTTGATTCTTCTAGTAGTACTTAATTTTTTCCCCCATCAGGAAACTGGATTTCCCAACCTCAGGAGAAGTAAATATATAATCTGTGGGTCCTTTCCTTGTCTTTCTGTATGTAACATAAATCAGTTACATCTTTTTCAGTCTCCTATCTCTCTCAAGCTATTGTTTAAAGTCAAATAGGCCATACAATATTAGTTGAAGACAAAGGTGGCCAAGCTTTTTGAAGATTATTAAAGCACTCAAACAACTCTGTCAGAAAATATTCCCAACATCAGATGCTGAGTACAGAAAAGTGCTGGAGGAATTGTAGATGACAGAAATAACAATTTCATACTCATTTTGTTATTTTCTTTGAACAGAAGATGACAGTGTGTAACACTGAGTATGTGAGAATGTGAATTTATGAATGAGCCAGTCAGGCATGTTTGAACCAGAGCATCAGTAAGCCCCCTACCATTATGGTGAAACAAGGAGTCAGACAAAAACATTAGCCTTTGTTTTCTTTCTTCATGGGTTCTTACATTAGGATTTCGACAAAAAGGGCTAATATCCAGAATCTACAAATAACTTAAACAAAACTTACAAGAAAAAATCAAACAACCCCATCAAAAAGTGGGCAAAGGATATGAACAGACACTTCTCAAGAAAATTATTTTTCTTAGTTCTCTCTGCAAACCAAAGTAGTTTCCGTGGAGAGAGAACAATGGCCCCCAAAGACATCCACATCCTAATTCCTGGAACCTGTGTATACGGTATCTTACATTCCAAAAGGGACTTTACAGATATGATTAAGTTAGAGATTTTGAGATAGGAAGACTATTTTAGATTATTCTTATGGGCCTAATGTGATCAAAGGAGTCTGGATTAGTCCGTGCTCACACTGATAAAGATACTACTGGAGACTGGGTAATTTATAAAGAAGAGGTTTAATTGACTCACAGTTCCACGTGGCTGGGGAAACCTCAGGAAACTTAGAATCATGGTGGAAGGGGAAGTAGGCAGCTTCCTCACAAAGCAGCAAAAAAGAGAAGTGAGAGCGCAGGGTAAAAAACTGCTGCTTTGAAAACCATCAGATCTCATGAGAATTCACTCACTTTCATGAGAACAGCGTGGGGATCCAATCACCTCCCTCCCTCTGCACATGGGGATTACAATTTGAGATGAGATTTGGGTGGGGACACAGAGCCAAACCATATCAGAGTCCTTATAAGCGGGAGGCTCAGAGTAGGAAATGTGACGATAGAAACAGAGACCAGAGAGGTAGAAATTTTAATATGCTATTGTGCTGGCTTTGAAGATTTAGAAAGGGATGAAGGGCCAAGGAAAGCAGGTGCTCTCTAGAAGCTGAAAAAGTCAAGGAAAACAATTCCTCAGCAGAGCCTCTACAAGGAAGGTAACCCTGTTGACCCTTTTTAGACTTCTGACCTTCTCAACAGCAAGATAATAAATTTTTGTTTTTCAAAGCCACTAAGTTTGTGGTAATTTGTTACAACAGCAATAGAAGACTGATCTAAGTCCCAATCTCCATCTCTAAAGAAATAATATCTCTTCTTAAATTAGTCTTAGAGTGAATAAAAGACAAAGGCTCAAGCTATCAACTCTCTGTGGGTTCTAAAGATTAAATGTATTTAAAATAATACATGGCGAGGCTATACAAAGGAAGATTTACATTTTGGTTGCTATGGTGATTATTAAATCTACATCTATGTAATGCATTATTTTGAGCAACACAAGCCATTTTGAACAAAACAAAGTAATGCAACACATTCCTATGGCTCATTACAAATATATAACCTTCTGAAATAAACATTTCAGGTTCAGCTTCAGTAATTTTTTTTAATATCTACTATGTCCTGGGTATCCTATGAGTAAGTGTGTGTGTGACAGAGAGAAAGAGAGAATTTCCAGTACTTTATGTAAAACATTATCACCACGTCTTTCTTTTAGCAGTACCCGCTAGTCATTTATTAATTCATATAATTATTTTAAAATATTTATGGCATAATTTAAATGGATTCATTATTAGGAGATGTTTGGAAATATTACCCATCTTTAATTTGTGAGACATGTCATGGTTTTCACAAACTTTTTGAATCTTTATTTGCTCTTCATCCTTATTTGGTAAGCTAAGACTTCAAATTCTTTCTCTCCCTCTTCCCTTCATATGAACTCTTCTTGCCTAATGTTGAGATGCCAGGAATTCATGGGATTAAAATGGTAGCACTTTCTCTAAGAAATTTGCATTATCAAAGGTTTCAGAGTATTACATTCTAAACATGAAGCCCTATTGTTAGAAGTGTTATTTGTCTAATCTTTGGCATTTTAAACTCCCATTTATAATAAATTGTACAGTTTACAAAGCACTTTTCTTTTGGAAGAACACAAGGTTTAGAGTTATCATTTAGGGTTCTGACACAAACTCCGCCACTTCACAAGCTGAGTGAACACTGGTAACCTGCTTAATATTTCCGAGCCTCAGTTTCTTATCTTAAAAAAAAAGAAATAAGTGGAAACGATAATACCTATTGTATATCTTTGTTTTGAAGATGTAGTAATATATTTTTAAAAGAATGTTAAACCATAAGAAACAATGTAAACAATGGTAATAATTTTTATTACTATCATTGTAATGGTTATCTATTAATATATAATAAATATCTTGGAACTTAGTGGCTTAACACAATGAACACATGATCTCGTAGCTTCTGTGGATTAGGAATCTGGGTGTGGTTTAGCTGAGTCCTCCAGTGGAGATGTGTTAGATGGGCTACAATCAAAATGTCTGGCTGGGCTACAGTTATCTCAGGGCTTTATTGGGGCACATACACTTCCAAGCTTGTGTATATTATTGTTGACAGTATTCAGTTCCTCAAGGGCAATTACAGTGAGGCCTCACTTCCTGGTTACCTGTAAACTCCGGGGATACCATCAGCTCCTCATCAGGTGGAACTCTCCATATGGAAGCTTATGACATGGCAGCTGGCTTCCCTCAGAGCAAGCAAGCAAGAGTGGATGCCCAGGAAAAAAAGCCAGTCTCTTGGTAACTTAATTTCAGAAGTGATATTACATCTTTTTTTTTTTTGGTATTCTATTTATTAGAAGCAATTCATTAGGTCCAATCCATATTCAAGTGAACAGCATGCACCAGATTGTGAATTCTGAGAACTGGAAGTCACTGGGGCCATATTAGAAGCTACTTGCCATAATTATTGTTATCTAGTTCTTAAAATTGCCCCTCACCAAAATTCTAGCCACGGGGTCAAGGCATTTTGCTTTAAAAGGAATCTTGGATAGTTAGCCGAAGGCAAAATAGACACTCAGGTCCAGTTTTAAGGGTCCATTTCCATGTGCATTTGAATTTATATTTCATGATTAAAGTACAAGGAACACATTATAAATTTTCTCACAGGAAACTCTTATCTAGGGGTCTGGGTAATGGAATATGCCAAGCTATGAAGTTTTGCAAAACACTTGGTTGCAGGGGAAAAATAGATTAGTGCTCTCTTAACTATGACTAAACCAGTGGGTACGGCATGCAATCACCATTTCCAAAACAATTATGTTGAATTTAATAGCTCTTCAACTCTTTCTGGTGCTGCAACAAGACTACTGATTTAATGGTGCACCAAGCTGCTACAAACCAGAGGTTAAAACCCATGGTTAAATGACTCTGGTGAGTGGTATTGAAAGCTATCATCACGTGGACAGTTCTCAGACTCCAGGAAGGGGGAAAGAGGAGGGTGGTATGAGGAAGGAGGTAAAGAGGAAAATAGAACAAAACAGGAAAAGCCAACAGGCAGCTGAGGCTTTCAAAAGCACTCAGATACTGCCGATTTATTTTTCTTTTCTTTTTTTTTGTCATTCCAAATGTTAAATTGAGGTGATTATAAACCTCTTGTTTGTTTCATTTTGCTTTCAGTTAAAAAGTGAAAATTAAAAGACAGTGGGGATAAACTGCAGAGAGAGCTTTTGACAGCTGAAGGATGGAAAGCCCATTACCCATAATCATAATACAAACCCTCTGGACAATGCTGGGGGAGGGAACCTCTCACAGGAGAGGCGCTGGAAATGACCCAGGCCTGGCAGGCCCTGAGGCCATCACAGGAATGAGATTGCAAACCCCAGGGAGAAGCATTGAAGGCTGCCAACATGGCGGGCTCTGAAAGCTGCACTCTGCCATGACAATGGAAAGCAGGAGAATTGACGGTGAACTGATTGGCAGTGGGTGGGAAAATGGAGAAATAGGCTGCCTGCCTGGAAGGCCAGAGACCTGGTAGGAGAGAGGTCTGAACAGCCGATAGACCTACAAAAACAAAACAAAAAAACCTGGATGCCAGAGGAAAAAATATATATAATCAGAAATCAGTTAAAAGAGTGAATTGTAACTTTAAATCCAGGGCATGAAATATAGAAATGGAAAATAAATAGATCAACGAATACTTCTTCGTGTAGTACAAATAGAGCTAATGTTGTCCAAATAAGCATAGAGAATAAGCATAGCTGCATTGCGATGTTTTTGTTAGAAATTTTATTAACCACACAATCCATAGTTATTATTGTTGCTTTAAACAGTCACTTAGCTTTTAAATAAATTAAAGTGTGAAGACATTTAAAAAATACTTTCCCAAATTAAAAATAAAATGGTGCAGAAGTCATAATGTAATCAATGAATTTTCAAAGGAAATGCACCTTTTAATCCGCACTCCAATTTAACTAAAAGACAATTACCTGCCTTCAGACGGTTCATGTCTCCTCCATTTATTATTCATTCCACTGTCGCCAATGATAATCACCGTACTGATTTCTAGCGTCATAGATAAATGTGTGTGTTTGAACTTTACGTAAGTGAAACCTACGATATGCTCTTTGGTGTATTTTGCTCAACGTTGTTTCAAAATTTGTGCATATTGTGTGTCATAGACTTTTGATTATCATTGCTGTATAGCAATTCAGTGTGTGAATGTGTCACCAACTAATGATACATTTCACTTTTGAAGGTATGTTATTAGTGTTTAGGTTAGGCCTGTTCTTTCTATTTCTGTTGTGAATGTTTTAGTACTTTGTTTTTTCTGCCATTTATTTTGGCTCTAACCTTATGGCTGCATTTAAAAGTTCTACAGGATGCAAATGTTCACCTTTGGTAGATATTGTCAAATGCCCTTCTAAAGTAGTTATACCAGTTATATATACAGCTACCCACTCCGCCTCCTGAAAGCAGTGCATAAGAGTTTCTGTTGCTCCATATACTTTCCAGCATGTGGTATGTTTTATCTTTAGCATGATAGCTATTATATTATAGTAGGTATGCAGGGATACTACTGTATTGACAGCTGTATGTTTTTTCTTCTCCTACTTCTTGAACCCCTAGCTTCATACCTCTACTGGGCTATTAAGCCACCTCGTGATATCCTCATGACAATCTGGTAAGATAAGATGATGCAGGCGGGGTGGAACAGAGATGTTTACCTGTCCAAAGAAGGACCACATGGAACAAGCCGGAGCTCTTGAACTGATCTGGGACAATGCCAAGAATGTCCTCCTCCACTAAAATGTTGACACCAATGACAGCAACTCCTTAATTCCCCTCTAGATCCATGTAGATGTTGAGTTTTTACTTAAATATTAACTATTAACAAATACTAGTTCAATCATAGGATGGAGACAAATAAAAACCCCATAGACACATAGTAGAAAACAGAACTGAAACTCAGCTGTGGTTTAAAAGGCAGAGTAATATTTGGCAAATCACTGGACTTCCCTGAGCCCCGAATTTCTAAACTATGAAAGCAACAGATAGTTCTATATTATGTGCAGTATATTCTTCAGTACTGTAAATTCTTCCCTTTATGAAATATATCAAAGACTATTTACCATCTAGAAGACATAAATTCAGTTTATTTTTTATTCCCTAGGTTTTAACTTCAATTGACCATTGGAATTAGAGTAACTATATTGTCAATAACATCACAATTCAGGAACACCTAGAATTTCAGATTTACATTTCTCAAATTAAAGGCAAATTTTTAAAAGTCTAAATATTTTGCATTACTACAAAGAAATTTCAAGCCTTAATTCAAAATATAAAGGGAATGATTCTAAAGAGAAAAAAAATCCTGTAACACTTCTTGATTATTAATGTATCCTGCAAAATCTCGATATGACATAGCAATTGTGGTCAAATACTCGTCAAATATGTGTTCATTAATCCTCAGTAGAAACAGAAAAATTTCATTAAGATTTTCTTTCAGCATTACCCTGTTTGCTTTCCAGATCCATTTCAGATACACATGTAGATGTATTTGAAACTTGCTTATGTAGTGTGGGTATTGTATATTCATATTTCCTCAATTGTGAAAAACAAATGAATAGATTTGTGCTGAAAAAAAAAAAAAACACAGTTTGGTTTGTAATCTGTGGGTCTCACTGGATGCATCAGGAAAAGCAGAGGTAACCAAGTAGAATCTCCAGGAGGAGGAAAAAGCATTATCCTTAAGCCAAAGTCAGAGAAGGGATGGATAAGGCAGTGATAGTAAGTGTTGCTAGCAAGAAAACAACATCTCCATAGATAGTTCATATATATGGCCTTTCATCTTCAATAAGTCAGAAAGCCCTGAGTTTTTTTATCTTTATAGCTTGAAAATGAACATTAATTTGAATGGGAATGTGATAAACATATACATAAAAATCAAGATCTAGCATTAACAGAATTAATAATTGTTACAAGGTCCTGAATAACTCATAAATTAATTGAAGGAATGGGTGTGTTTCTTGAAAGAGTCAGCATCAGAGAGACTCATGCCTCTCTGTCAAACACATAAAGCAGGAATAAACACAAAGGGATGGAAGATGCTCATGGAGTGGTCCTGGCCAAGGTAATATTATGAGTTCTTCTTTGATCTCTCTAGTCTGAAAATAAAATGGTAGAAAGCTGACGACGATTTTTGTTTTCAACATAGCGCTCCACATTGTTTCCTGTCAAAATTGCTATATTTATTTCTGTTATCTATTAAAAATTAAACTTCTATTATAGAAGAATATATAATGATCAGACAGATGTCCATAATATATTGATAAGTTTATGTGTGTATGTGTTTGTATGTGTGTATGTTTACAGTTGACTCCTGGGCAACACAGGTTTCAGCTGCGTGGATCCACTTACATGTGGACTTTCTCCTCCCTCTGCCACCCCTAAGACAGCAAAAAAAAAAAAAAAAAAAAAAAAAACCTGCCTCTTCTTCCTCCTCCTTGGCCTACTTAATGTGAAGACAATGAGGATGAAGACTTATGATTATAGATTTCCACTAAAGGAATAGTAAATATATTTTCTCTTACTTTTGATTTCCTTAATAACATTTTATATTCTCCAGCTTATTTTATTATAAAACTACAGTATATAATACATATAACATTCAAAATATTTGTTAATTGACTGTTATTGGTAAGGGTTCTGGTCAATGGTAGGCTATTAGTAGTTAAGTTTTGGGGGAGTCAAAAATTATACATAGATTTTCAACTGCATGGGAGATTGGTGCCCCTAACTTCTGTGTTGTTCAAGAGTGAAATGTATAATGATGGGGAAGATGTCCATAATATATTGTTAAGCTTAACAGAGTGTGTGTGTGTGTGTGTGTGTGTGTGTGTGTGTGTGTGTGTGTGTGTGTAGGGAGAGAGAGAGAATAGGATCTATCCCAACCCAAACTGGTAAAATATGGAATAGGTTTTATCTACCTTTTCTGAAGTGCTAACTGGACTTGTACACCTTTTTTAATAAGAAAAAAATACTTAATGAATTGCCCAAGTTACATAATGTTAATATTTAATTTCATTTTAAAATTATTAACTTACTCTTCTGAATTAGCCAATGGCCACTCAACAAAACAGTCAGTCCACTGGTTTATGCTTTGGGTACCCCCAAATCATTCATCCATCATTAGTGGGGAACTTGGGAATCTGTGACAAAGCTTAGAATTCACAGGTGTATTAATATTAATGCAATAGTAACAAAGAGTATATATCAACAACAACAACATACATTGGGAGTTGACTGCATCTAAAACATTATACCACATGGTTTACAAATGATGATACCTTTTACTGTCACAGCAGCCCTATTAGGTTTGCACAATTATTTCCTATTTTTGAGATGAGGAAACTAAGACCAAAGGGCTTATGAATCTTGCACAAGGACTTACAATAAATGGTGGAACCTCAAACAGTCTGATACAAATATGTTCTTTAAAACGATGCCATGCTTCCTCAGAAAAGAAAGATTCTGCTTCCGTAACCCACATAACACGGTAATGAGGACCATAGATGGCATCCCAGCTGTGTCTAATATACACCTGGGAGAGCAGTGTCACCTGAATCCATTTCACATCCCACGAACGGAAACAAAGTTTTGCCAATTATCTGGTTAATCCTGTTAATTTCAGTGAAGCAATGAGGCTTCAAGATAAATTTTATTTGGCCTGAAACTTTGATTTGGCCGTCTGCATCGATTGAAAAAAACTGGATAATCAAGAAATCTTCACGAGCTCTGCTTAGCCACATCCAACTAGGTATCAGTAAATTTCCTCTCAATCTGGTGTAAAATTGGAAATTTCATCTTAAATATTGTATATGCTTGTTATGTTATTTTGGATCATACATAGATTGAAAATTCAAAGATTGTGTGGTGTTTATTTGAGCATATGGTAAAATTGGAGCTTCAGGTATTAGAGAAACAGGTTAGAACGTGAGGGAGGTAGAAGGAGGAAGGTCAGAGGCCTGGAAAGTGAGTTGTTTCTCTTGTAATTTAGCACCTCTCTTCTCTCAATCTAGAGAGACCTTAAATGATGTGTATCTATTTATTTTAAAGACCACTTGGGGAGAGGCTGTTAACTGTCACCAAATAAATTTCACATGATCATTCTTACACCCATTTCCCATGCCTTCTGAAATAGAAAAGAAAGCTTCACGTTGTCATTCTCTATATTAGATATTAATTCCTAGATGAGTTTGATTTTTTTTGCAGTTGAATGGTGATAAAATGAAGCTATTTTGAAGCACATTAAATCTGCAAATTTGAACACTTTGATGCCAATGTTCATTTTATTGCAAGGTATCCTATTTTCACCTTCATAAAATTGAATGCTTGTATGTACCATATAATTAAATTTAGCCATACCAAAAACTCAAGTCTATGAATTTATTAACTCTTGACTGCATCACTGCTTAGAAACTTTGATAAAATTTACTGCAATTTCCTTAATCTCTGATGTAGCTCAATCCTGAAGTTTAGGGAATTACAAAGCCTTGCTTTCTTATTTCTGTGGCCCCTATCACAATTGCACAGTGCTATTCCGGCAAAGACGCCCACAATTAGCAAGGAATTCTTTTCTTCTGAGATACCGGGCTCCCCTCAATGTTGGCTCTAATACCTGCCCCTCAGGAACAGAATTGTTCTTCTAAGGGAAGTAGAAATTAGTTGTTGTTCATCAAGAGGGGAGACTTATAAAATACATTCTGGCTGGTCACCAGAAAATAGAAATTTTGCAAATCTTAGAGAGTTTGGTGCTGCTAAAGGTGGCATTTGCAATCTGTTCTTTCAGCAGGATTTTATTCAGATCAGTTATACAGGAAACCTAGAGTATATAATAAGAAAAAGGACAGAGAAGAACAGATTCCCTGGAATAGAAACTCACAAAGAACCAAATATGAACATTTTAAAGGAGAGATGTGCTTTCCAAGGGAGAGGGCCACAGGCCCATCTAATCTGTTACACTAATTGCTGATATATATATATATGTAAATATCAGCAATTAGTGTAACAGATATTTATGTGTGACATATATATATCAGCAATCAGTACATAATTAGTATATATGATATATATCAGCAATTAGCGTAACAGATATTTTATGTATATACACACACCAACACACACACACACACACACACACACATATATATATTGCTTTCTATAGTGTTGCCAAGTATGAACTTAGTCTTTTCTGCCTTATTTCCAGTTGCTACCAACCACATGTCTATTCTCTGATCAAAATAGATGGCAAATATTTTCCAAAAAAAACACATTTTTACCCCTCTGGTTTCTTATCCATTCTGTTTTATATGTTCAGACCACCAATCATCTGCTCACTGGTTAAGTACAATCCAGAAGTTAAATCTGTGACGTCGTTTCAGCCATGAATCTTCTCTGCTCTCTGTCCTGGTCCATTTTCTCAAAACTATTGTCTATACAAGCTATCTTCATCTGCTTATATCCCTCTCACTCTTCAGCCCATTCTGATTCAGTTTTGGTTATACTATTCCACTGAAGCTGTACTCATTAAAGTCATTCATGCCTTCCACACTGGCAAAGAATGGCTTTCTCTGTTCTCATCATAACGGACTTTTCATTAGCTCTCAAAAAAATAAGGTACTCTTTTCAATTTGAAATATTGTATTTGGACTGAAGCTAACCGCTCTGCTGATGTATTTTTTTTTTAATTCTATGGTTTTTCCCCCATTATTTTCCTGTGATGTCTTCCCCTCAATCTCAAATCTGTAAATTGTGGTTGCTGTAAATTGGGTTTGCTCAGGGTTTGGTCATAGTCACTTTATTATACTCCTGCCACCACCTGCTCCCAATAAAGTTATTACTAGTTTGGTGCAATTGCGTTTCTTGCCAATTGAAAGTAATGGCAAAACAGCAATTACTTTTACACCGACCTAATAGTTCCCAAGGAATTAATCACTATTCTTATGCTAATCACTACTAGATTTATACATTTAGGCAAGAATTCTCGGTGATTATGATATTTTTATATCTAAACTTTCTATAGCCCTGGAATAATCCCATATGTATCTCAAACACAACTTCCCAGAATTTATCTTTTGATTTGCATTACCATGACCTGCCTTCTATCATCTACTCAGTTTTCCATGCAGAATATCAATGGAGACATTAAAGTTCCCCCGTTCTTTCAAACACTCCATATGATACATGAGCAAGTTTCAGAAACTTTCATAAAAGTGATCTCAAATCTGTACAGTTCTCTGTTGACTACCATGTTAATTTAGTGTGCCATGTGTGTAGATGTGTACACAATTATACATCTGAACAGTTGAAGTTGTACTCTGAATGGTATACCCTAAATTTTACTTAGTAAAGTTGCACCTTTGTGTACATAAGTGTGATATTTTTAACGTGTAAAAATTAGATTACACTCATATTGTATGATTCTATTTCATTGAAATCCAAATGAAACAAAACTAGTAATAAGAAAAATCAGAATTGTGGTTGCTATGAGGAAGATGGAAGTTAGTGGACAAGGGGAAAATTGACTGGAAACAAGTCCAAGGGAATGTTCTGGAAGGGTTAACTTTCTAATCATACAATATGCGTGTAATCTATATTTTGTTTTAGATAGTGGTACCAATAGTTTACAACCTCCAAAACTAATCTAGCTGGATGCTGAAGATCTGACTACTTTAGATTAATTTTATATCAAAACAAAGTGAGGCATACATTAAAGGTTTTAGTAACTTCCCCCAAAATAGCAAAACAAAATGTTTGCCCATCAAAAGGCTCTGAATGAGCCTGCCTAGGCCTCTAAACTCAACCTGCCTCAATATTCTTTGCTTATACTGCTCACACCATACCCATCTTGTTCCAGTTTCTTTAATATGTGAAGCTCTATTCTCCACCTGGATGATCTCCACCACTACCATCAACCATGCCCCCCTTCACCTGGCTACTCTGTCTCTCAATGTTAATGTTTATCACTGTGCTTCCAAAAATTCATTATCTCTTTTATGATCTATATTAATCTTTTAAACTTTTTTTAAATACCACAATTTGCAATTGTTTGATTCATTTTTCTTTGCTTGCTTCTTGATCTGTCTCCATCACAGCATAAGGTCTTAAGAGCAAAGCCTGAATATCTCCTGGTCAGTACTGTACCCTCGGTTAGCATAACACATTTGACCCCTGAGCAACACAGTTTGCTCACCTGTGTTCCTCAGAGGAACACAGAAGACATATATACTTGTTTATAGAGGTTACACATATTTTGGCCGGGCGCGGTGGCTCACGCCTGTAATCCCAGCACTTTGTGAGGCCGAGGCGGGCGGATCACGAGGTCAGGAGATCCAGACCATCCTGGCTAACACGGTGAAACCCCGTCTCTACTAAAAATAGAAAAAATTAGCCGGGCGTGGGGGTGGGCGCCTGTAGTCCCAGCTACTCGGAGGCTGAGGCAGGAGAATGGCGTGAACCCGGGAGGCGGAGCTTGCAGTGAGCCAAGATAGCGCCACTGCAGTCCAGCCTGGGCGGAAGAGCGAGACTCCGTCTCAAAAAAAAAAAAAAAAAAAAAGAAGTTACACATATTTATAAATTTATTCATGTTTTGAGGTTCAGTGAAAAAAGGCGGATATTAGAGAAAGTTCTAAAAGGCAGCTAGACCTCTTTTGGCAAAATGAGAGGGACATTCTAGGCAATGGGAATGAGTGAGGCAAAAACATAGAAGCATGAAATAATTGCATGCATAGTATAATTGGCTGTTGATGAAAATGATCCTGTATGAAGTAAGAGTGGAAAATAAAATACGGAAAGTAAAAGAAAAACCCTTTTGAAGATAGTTTTTTATTAAAATTGATTTTAATAGATGTTGATGTCTGCATTTTCTTTTGTTATTGATGTTGATGTATCTCCCTCTAGTGTGTCAGTTAAACAAATTCTCCAAGCTTTATTTTCTCTGCAAATAAAAACAGTATGTCTTTAATCTTTAAGCACAGAACTTTGAGGGACAGTCTCCCTGAAAATGGATAGACTGATGAGCTAGG